>NC_000013.11:76135378-76286893 GCF_000001405.40 Homo sapiens
ATAAAAAGTTGAGGTGTTATAAGACATCAGTAAAAGTGTCTTCTGTTAGCCTATCAGACATGTAGACAGTCCTGAGGATGATTTGAAATAGGACTTTATTTTTTCCCTCAAGGTGTCAATTGAGCCCATTTCAGATGGACACTGAATTTCTTTTTTCTTCTGTATTCTATGTGTCTCCTGTGTCTCAGTTTTTTGACCGATTTCTTCTGCCAAGTTGATTGTTCTTTTTTCTCTCAGGCTGTGTCCAGGTTTGTGTTGGGTCAACCTAGGATTATCTTCAATGGAGTAGAAAGATTTAAGATAGGAAACAAAACTGGGGATGGGAAGAGTCATTACAGCTCATGTGAGGAGTAGACTCGGTTGAACAAAAAGTGTCACTTTATGATTCTAGCCAAATGAAGAATTTACAGCCTAAAATTTTTGTTACTGAGATTGGTAATCTCTTAAGGTATAAAGTCTGTAATTCCAGGTTAGTATCTTAAGGTAAATGAAACTATCTTTACTTATTTCCCCTCCTTTGCTTATCTAAGCTTAGTTCGGATGAGAATTTCAGAAAAGGGCAGTGGTATGCTTAACCTCAAGATAAGGGTGGATACGTAGGGGAGGGGTCAGGGTAGGAGGAAGAAAAACATTTCATAAGGAATTAGTACAACAACCAGCTGAGAAGACAGGTTAAGGCCAGCTGGTGGAGATCTGTGGCAGATGATATTTTCCTAAAATGACCACAATATTATTTGCAGTCTCCATGTTTCTAGAACCTTGCAATTTCCCATAAAGATGTGAATTGTACTTTCTATAGAATTTGGGTTGGTTCAAAACTGCTCCAGCTAATAGTGCAATACTGTGCAAGTGATGCTCTGTGATTTCTGAGGCTAGGTCATCAAAAGGCTAGAGCTTCTGTTTGACTGCCTTTTGATGGGGACTCTTGCCCTTGTAAGTCAGCCTCCATGCTGTGAGGAAGCCCAAACTAGCCCATGCAGAAAAACTACATAAAAAGGCCCATGTGGGAAGGACTAACCAACATCAGTTGCTAGACATGTGAACAACTGAGACTTCAGACAAGTATAGCTCCCAGCTTTCAAGTCTTCCAGATGAGACCCTTGGCACTGTGGAGCAAGACAAGTTATCTGCACTATGCCCTGTTCAAATTCCTGACCCAGGAATGCCTGAACACAATAAATGTTTTTTTCAGTGGCACTAAGTTTTGGGGGTAAACTGTTATGCACACAAACTAGGTCTATGAATGGCATATTGAGTCTGAACATTATTTGAACTATTACAAGTTTTGGAGGCCAGGTGTGATGGCTTGTGCCTATAATTCCAGCACTTTGGGAGACCTTGGTGGGCAGACAGCATGAATTCAGGAGTTTAGACCAGCTGGGGCAACATGGTGAGACCCTGCCTATACAAAAAAAAAAAAAACAAAACCTAGCTGGGCATGGTGGTTCATGCCTGTAGTGCACCAGTTACTCAGGAGGCTGAGTCAGGAGGATCGCTTGAGCCCAGGGAGGTCCAGGCTGCAGTGAGCCATGGTAGTGCCACTGCACTCCAAATTTTTAGTAGAGGAAACATAACCTGAGCTATACTTAAGGATGTTAACTCTGATGACAAGACAACAGATACATTGAATGGGAAGGGAACGGAAAAAGACTATGTTAGTAAAGGCCTAAAATTGAGCAGTGGCAGCAGTGAGAAATAGGAGGAAGTGGATGTGAATAATACTGTGGAATACAATCCACTGTATTTGAGTGCTAAATGAAAAAGGATTTATGAAATGGAAAAAGTCAAAGATAATTGAAATATTTTGAAGATTCTTAAGGGAAGATCCAGTTTGAATAAAACATCTTGTTTAAGTACACTTCGTTTAGGGTGTCAGTGCCACATCCAAGAGGCCTTCGGCAGCCATTGGAAATACGTAGTTGGACATACTTGACATGGAGCCAATAAATGAAGATTATAGAAATAGATGAATAGAATGTCAAAAAGAAAGTTAATGAATAAAGGTGAGAGACACAAAGGGGAAAAGGAAAAAAGGTAGTGGAAATTAAAATTGAAAGAAAAAATACCTAAAATGTAGAAAGAATGAGTGGAAGGAAATTTTTCATGATGCCAAGGAAGGAAAGTTTTCTTTTTTCTATGAAAAATGGTTGGACAATAGTGCTTAGGGTGAGAATGAGGATTTCAAATTTTGTGTAAACTTATAGTGTACATGTGTAATTTTGTTACATGGATAGATTTCATAGTAGTGAAGTCTGGACTTCTAGTGTATCCATCACCCAAATAATACACATGGCACCTATTATGTAATTTCTCATCCCTCACCCTCCTCCTACTCTCCTACCCTTCTGAATCCACAATTTCCATAATTCCACTCACTTATAAGTAGGAGCTAAACAATGTCCATGTATACACATTTTTTAGCTCCTACTTAAAAGTAAGGACATGATGTATTTGTCTTTCTGTTTCTGAAACTTGTTTCACTTAAGATAATGGTCTCCAGCTCCATCCATGTTGCTGCAAAAGACATGGTTTCATTATCTTCTATGACTGCATAGTATTCCATGATGTGTATATACCACACTTCCTTTATCCAGTCATACATTGATGCACACTTATGTTGATTCCATATCTTTGCTATCGTGAATAGTGCTGTGATAAACATATGAGTGCAGGTATCCTTTAGATGTAAAGATTTCTTTGCTTTTGTATGGCTACTCAGAAGAGAGATTGCTGAATAAAATGGTAGTTCTGTTTAGCTCCTTGAGAAGTCTTCATACTTTTAGGTTGTACTAATTTATGTTCCCATCAACAGTATGTAAGTGTTCTATTTTTCTCTATATCCTTGCCGATATCTGGTTTTTTTTTTTTGTCTTTTTAATAATGGCCATTTGGACTGATGTAAGATAATATCTCATTGTGGTTTTCATTTGTATTTCTCTGATTATTAGTGATTTTGAGCATTTTTTCACATGCTTATTGGCCATTTGTATGTCATCTTTGAAATATGTCTATTCATGTCCTTTGCCCAGTTTGTAATGGGGTTATTTGGGTTTTATTTGTTGAATTGTTTGAGTTCCTTATAAATTCTGGATATTATTTCCTTGTTGGAGGCATAGTTGCAAATATTTTCTCCCATTATACAGGATGTCTATTCCCTTTGTTAATTATTTCTTTTATTGCGCAGAAGCTTTTCAGTTTAATTAAGTTCCATTTGTCTATTTTTGTTTTCATTTGCCCTTGCTTTTGATGTCTTAGGCATGAATTCTTTGCCTAGACCACTGTCCAGAAGAGTTTTCCTTAGGTTTTCTTCTAGTATTTTCAGAGTTTCAGGTATTATATTTTAATCTTTAATTCATCCTGAGTTGATTTTTGTACATGACAAGAGATGGGGTCCAGTTTTATTCTTCTGCATATGTCAATCCAATTTTCTCAGCACAATTTACTAAAATAGTGTCTTTTCTCTGTGTTTGTTCTTACCAATTTTGTCAAAAATCAGCTGTAAATATGTGGTTTTGTTTCAGGGTTCTCTGTTCTGTTCCATTGATCTACCATGCTATTTCGGTTTCTATAGACTTTAATATAATTTGAAGTCAGGTACTGTGATACCTCCAGCTTTGTTCTTTTTGCTTAGGATAGCTTTGGCTAGAAAATGAAGATTTAGAAAGCCACTGCATTTTATTATTATTAGAAGACTTTATGGAGAGTAGCTTCAGGTAGGAACTTGGCAAAAAAGCAATCTTTAGGGATAGTGGGTGGTTGTATAAAACTGGAAGAAGAAAAAATAGGCCCAGTGAAATTCCTTAGCAAAATAAAAAACAAAGGCAAATAATTGCTCAAAGATTGGAGGAATTCAAGCATTTTGAAGCAAAAACAGAAATAATACTGGGTTATTCTTTTTCAGGAGTTAGGAAGGAATCATATGAAGAGAATACATGGAGGGATATTCTTAAATGGAGAGGAGATATTTCTATTGAGTCAAAAAGAAAGCAGAAAAAAAGTAAGATAAATCCAAAAATCAAGATTATATTTTCCTACGTTGTTTCTGACATTAGTATTAATATTGAATCCTTTTACTGGGAAATAATAACCTTCTCATTGAAGGTGCACGAAATGTTCATTTGCGAGAGCAAAGGCTGTGTCCTACAGATTTGTGCAGATAAATAATAAATGGAGGACTCAATTTTAAGTATTTCTCTTTATCTTTAGCCTTCCCCAAACTGTTCACTATTGTTGGTAGTTACTGTTTTTTTTTTTTTTTTAATTGTTGTTTGTTTTGTTTGTTTTCTTCCTAAGGAGATGAGGGTCTCATTCTGTTGCACAGGCTGGAATACAGTGGTGCGATTATGGCTCACTGAACCCTTGAACTTCTGGGCTCAGGCGATACTCCTGCCTTAGCCTCTCAAGCACTCATGACTACATGTATGCACCACCATGCTCAGATAAGTTTTTTAAATTTTAAAACAGTTTTGGCCGGGCGTGGTGGCTCATGCCTGTAATCCTAGCGCTTTGGGAGGCCAAGACAGGCAGATAACTTTGAGCTAGTGAATTTGAGACCAGCCCGGACAACATGGCGAAATCTTGTCTCTACCTAACATACAAAAAGTAGCTGGGTGTTGGTGGCTCACATCTGTGATCGCAGCTACTTGGGAGGTTGAGGCTGGAGAATCGCTTGAGCCCGGGAAGTGGAGTTTGTGGCAAGCCAAGATAGCGCCACTGCACTCTAGCTTAGGCGACAGAGGCAGACCTTGTCTCAAAACAACACAAAAATAAGTAGAGACAGGATTTTGCAATGTTGCCCAGGCTGGTCTCAAACTCCTAGCCTCCAGTGATCCTCCTGCCTCGGCCTCCCAAATTCTCGGGATTACAGACATGAGCCACAGTGCCCAGCCAGTGGTTATTGTTTTTTGATGTATCGTCACATTCGGTCAAGCATTATATTTCAGCCTGGATTTGACAAAGTAATCATCTCAGTGAGATAATTAAGGAAGACATTTGTGTAATTTAAAAATCTAAACACTGAAGAACTTCTGAAAAGTGCCTGATTATGTTTGGCTTACACTTTCCATATATCCATGAGACTCTATGTGGCTGTATATCTAACAACTCTATATGTGTCTCTGTCTCTGTCATCTCTGTCTGTCTTTATTTCCATCTCTGTCTCTATCTTTTTATCTTCGTCTCTTTGTAGGTTTGGAACTGATTCAGTTTCCAATCTGCATTTAAGCCCTATTTAAAACTCCTTTTATTAAAAATGTACTTGGATTAGCTAACAGTACAGATCTGACCCTGTTTGTCTCCTGAGAAAGCCCCTTATTTGGAGGTCATTGGGAAATTCAATAAAAAATGTCATGGTTAAAATTTAATAGGAGGATGCCAATCCCTATATATAACCCATCCATGCAACCATATGTATATATGACTATTGTGACATTCCGCAAAGCAGGAAAATGGAGGCTTTAAGAAGAATAATTTTATGAATTTTTTATTCTTTTAATAAACTCTTTAAAATAAAGTTTTAGATTCTTTTTTCTATCCTCTCAAGATATCTATAAATGGAAGCTGTTTACATAGTATATTGATAAAAAGCTTATCAAAAACAAAAATTAGGGATGAAAAATTCCAGGAGGCTAGAGTTTTAGAGTTCACAAACAATTTTCAGTTATTATCCTTGTGGCAACTATACATAAAGATACAAATTGGGTTTCAAAAGTTCATAGGAAGTATTTATGAAGCCAAGATCAATTCTCTTGTTGCAATTCCTGATTTACACAAGTGCATTTCAGAACAGCAGACAAGAGCACTTGTATTTTCCAATCATTTAAAGATCACTTTGTGAGCCCATATCCATGTGATTCAGTGCTCCTGGTTATTAAATTTCTGTACTGTCATTTGATCATATTTGTTAAATAGTTTTTAATTGCTATTTTCTTTTCCTACTTAAATAGTAGACTTTGTAAATGAAAAGAAAATCTAGCATTTTTCACTTTTGCATTGCAAATTACAAATGAAAATGGTGACCCTGCTCTGAGCAATCAGTTACATTATTTTTCTTTCATCGTGTGATTTCCTTTACTTTTTGAAAGTGTCAACTACCACTTGACTCTTCATAAAATCATTGTACCTGTTATCTTGGAGTAAAAGGCTAAATATAAAGTTTTATTTATTTCCTCCAAAAATATTTTTTAAAAGTGAATAGCTTGATTTTGGCATTGTCCAAAATTGAATTTAATCATATCTGTGGAGAGTTTAAAATCTCAAATTTTAAAATTAAGATATAAAAAAAACCAAAGACAATCGTATTGGTGAAGATATGGGGAAACTAGAACTCTTGCACACTGTTGGAGGAAATACAAAATGGTGCAGCTGTTACTGAAAATAGTAATGAGTTTTTCTCAAAAATCTAAAAACAGAACTATCATGTGATCCAGTCCTTCCATTTATTGGTATATATCAAAATGAAATGAAACCAGTATATTAAAAAGATAATTTGCATTTCCATGTTCATTGCAACACTGTTCACGATAGCCAAGATGTAGAAACAAGCTAAGTGCCCATCGACAGATAAATGGATAAAGAAAATGTGGTAATACATACAATGAAATACTCTTCTGTCTTTAGAAAGAAGAAAATTGTGCAATACAAGACAACATGGATGAATATTGAGAATTTTTATGCTCTTTGTGAAATAAGTTGGTCGCAAAAAGACAAATACTGCATGCTTCCACTGATGTGAGATATCTAAAATAGTCAAATTTGTAGAATAAAAAAGTGGAATGGTGATTACTAGAGGCTGGGTGGAGAGAAAAATTGGGAGTTACTAAATCAACGAGCATAAAGTTTCAGTTAAGATGAATAAGCTCTCGAGAGTTAAAAATAATGTATTGTACACTTAAAATTTTGCCGAAAGGGTAGATCTCATGTTAAGTGTTATCACAGTAAAATAAAATTTAAAACGCAAAGTGAATAAAATACTTCACTCTCACTCTGGCTTTGAGGGTTCATACATGGAAACCAACATGGATTCATTTTCACTATTCCTATTTCATATGTTTGTTGGTTCTTTGTAGTAACCTTTGCTTTTGAGGGGCAATTAGATACAATTGAATTTTTCTTTGTCATTAAACTGTCATTTCTCTTAAAGACTAAGATTTGTCTAATTTAAACAGAATCCTGACACTTTCAACTATAATTTAAAAATTCACCTCAGAAACACTGAGCACCTGCTGCAAGGTAGGCTTTCAGCTAGGCATTGGGTATAAAGTCGTAATCCCAACAGATGCATTTTCCCTCCCCCTTGTGTTCCTGCTATGAAGGAGGACAGTGGCAATGGCCAAATAAACATGTAGTTATATAATTACCACTTGAGATAAATACTATAAAGGGGAACAGCAGTGAATAATAATAGAAAATAATACCAGGGCCCTTACTTATCCATAGGATAATGAGATAAAGTCTCTTCATAAAATCAGCTGAGACCTAAATGTAGAGTGAGTTAGGTGAAGAGGGAGAAGTGTGATATTCCAGGCCAAGTGAGCTGTATCCCTGGGGGCCTTGAGGTGGGAAACAGTGCATGGTGTAGTCCTGGCACTAACAGGGTCCCAGTACAATGGACAAGAAGAGGGGACGATGAGTTGGAGAAACTGAGTTGTTAGGCAGAATTCAAATAATGCATTGATTGGTAGTCCATGATACAGAGTGTGTTTGTTTTTGAAATACAATGAGATACTATAGGAAAAATGTGAATAGTGAAGTAGCGTGATATAATTTATTTCTTTAAATGATTAGTTTGTAGAAGGTAAGTGCTTTGAAGACAGAGGTAGGGAGTGCAGGAAAGCTTTCCTATTGAGCAGATAAGTCAGAAAGTACATCTTTGTTTTAATAAATTTGGTTTGATTTGAGGAGCAATGAATATTGTATATATCAGCACTTCTGTTTTCTGTGGATGTCCTTTAAGTGACTTACATTTTGCTAGTTTTAAAATTTTGCTTATGTTAAGTATCCATAAGGAGTCTTATTTCCTATTTTCAATTTATCTGAAAATCTGTAATCATAATACCATATATATACCTTAATCTGCTCCTAAAATAAAAATTTATTAAGCACACACTATGTGCTAAGAATTGTGCAAAGATGAAGACGTTTATAACTGCCATCCTCTCTCACCCTATCCCTATCTCATACCTTTGTCTTTTTTGCCTTTGTGGGTCACCAAGCTGTAAAACCACTAATCTTTCATTATGTATCTTCTTTATATCTCTTATTCAAAAACATGTACTAAGGTAGAGTGTTTCTTTAAGCTGCTGGGCTTGAGCTAATGTTATAGAAGAAAATACATTTTATTTCATACCTTATTTATTACAACCCAGAGTATTCAACAACAAGAAAACTGGAAAATAATTCTTAAAAGTTAAAAATCAGCATCTATATTTGCTATCTGATTTCTAACTACATATAGCTGTATATACATATATACACATATGTATGTATCTATATCTAACATATATACACATATGTATGTATCTATATCTAACATATATACTATGTGTATATATAAAAATATATATTGAGAGAGAGGGAGAGAGAAGGAACCTAATACACATATCAAAAAATGGTATAAGTCCAATGTAATTCTTAAAATGGACAAACGGAGTCCCTAAAATTAGCATGCAGTTGTGCATCCTTAATGTTTTGATAGATTTTTATGCAAATTAGTTTCTTTTCTAATTTTGGAGATGCAGGCACAAGTATCTAGTTTACCACTTTTTATTTTGCTATTGTCACAGATTATACAAGCTCTCATTAAAGTTCTATCCCTTTGTCCATTCAAAGTGCACATCCAGTAACTCTTTAAAAAATGATTTTTTGAGGTTGTTGCTCACAGTCTTGTTAAATGATGAAAATTCCCCACAGTAATTACCAAGCCCTCTGGAGTTGAATTCTACAAGTGAACTTCCAAGTTTCTGAGATGATCTTTCTTCACTCTTCCCTCAGTATTTCTAGATTCTCTCTGTTGCAAGTACTGAAATCTATTATTCAGCAAAACAGAATAAATTGCTTGCATAAAATTATTTGTTCTTATGAAAGTTTTGTGTTGAATTTAGGAAAATGAGTTCACATAAAAGCATTAAACATTGAGAACTTGTGAGTAAAGATCTAGTCATAAATTTAAATATTTTTCATAGTTATGAAAATGCCAACATTCCATTAGAGATAAAGATGAACATTTTTCCCTTATCTAGATGCAAATATGATCAATTTTAAAAATAAACCTATATAATATTGACAATAGTTAAATATGTTACTTGCTTGAAGGTGAATTGATAATATATACATCTCTTTCATCATTAAGATCTTTCTTCATTGTTGAAAACATCGATAATATATTAATATTTATAGAATGGAAGGGGAGTAATAAAAACTAAAACTAAAAATATGTTATTTGTATTTATTTTATCAAATATATAAATATCACTCCATTTTTCTGACTATGGTCCAGGGCAAAAAATAACATAATACAACATGTGTTCTTAGTATGCTAGCCTATTGATTTGAGAAGTGGTTCCTTTAAGTTATTTAAATAAGGAAAGAAACTTATAACCAAATAAACAATACACAACTAAAAGTCACTTGCCCATTGTTTTCATATGCATCACTTCAGTCATTACTTTTACAAATACAAATATTAAGGACTGGATACTAATGAATACATGTAAAATTGACAATCCTATTGATTTCAAAACCAGGGAAAATATTTTTATTTGACAAAAGGGCTTACATTTGTTTAAATAAGTTAAGTTGCCTAACATAATTTGATTTTATTAAGTTAGTAAAATTGAGCACCCACTGTGTACTGTCCTTTACAACAGATGTTACAGTTTTATCCCCTCTCTCACTTTGTCTTCTTCAGAGGCATTTTCCCAGGGACTACATACATTATTACCTCTGAAAAACATTGGCAGAAAGCAAAAAACTAGCAATCATATGTGTAAGCACCCTGGCTCCTCTTTATCTGAAGAGTGCATCCAAAGGGTTGTTCTTTCCCGATTATGCTGTAAAAGTTTAACACGTTTATTATTGATAATGAGGATACTAGTAAAAATGCTTAGTGTTTGATCTGTCAACTCAAAGTGATGCTTTCTAGATGATTGTAACTGCAATCTAGTTAATTAGTTCTTATGACAACCAAGGAACTTTTTATTATGCTTAACCCCTCACTAGTGTGTGCCACCTGATTGGCGGAAAGTTTGAGGGTAAGTTGCCCAGTTGGCAGCTGTTGGTGGATGATGCTGACATGATCAGGCTGAAGAGCTAAACACTGAAGACCTGCTAGTGTAAAGGTCGGTGATTCCCAATGCTGGCTGCAAGTGAGTACTTTTAACTCATACTGATGTTCAGGTTGGAAACTCAAATTAATTCAAACAGAATGTGGGGCAGAGGGAGCCAGGACACAGGTGTTTCTAAAACTTCTCAGGGGGGTTCCTCATGTGTAGACAGTGTTGAGAAGCTAGAGAGAGACTCTCTTTTAGGCTGAAAGAGAATTGTGTCACCGATTTCACTTGCGCTGTGGGCAGATTTTAGTTACAGGGGCTTTAACTTGAAGTGCTTTCTTTCATTATGTCCTCAGTTCTTAAAGTGATTGGGAAACAAGCAGCATCAGCATCTGGGAACTAGATAGAAATGCAAGTTTTCCAGCCTGACACTGAACCTATTAAAACAGAAACTCTGGGGTTGGATCCCAGAATTCTGTGTTTTTAAAAAGCCTTCCAGGCAATTCTAATATACATTAAAGTTTGAGAATCATTTTAGGCAAATCCTAGGCTATTATGGATACATGGAATCTAACAGTTATAGCTCTTCCCATTCATCACCCGGGTACATAGAAGGCACCTGGTTAAGCAATCCAAGGCACATGTTCTATGAACTTCTGTTCCTTCCTTGCCAGAATGAAACAGTTGACTTAGATAACGTTTTTATTATTCTAAATGCCTTCTAAGAGTAATCAGTGACATTTTGTAAATATCCACATTCAAAAAATAAATGATCTTTGAAAGAATGTTCAGGAAATAGGTGTATCTATTCGTTTGTTATTATAATCGCTGAAACAAAATGACATCTCCCAAAGTCCTGAGTAGATTTATGTAAGAAACTGCTTTTTCTCTGTTGGTCAAAATTAAACAGAGTAATAGATTCCCAGGTTTTCCTTTCCTGTCTAAGGGACAAAAATGGTATTAAGAAAACATACATTTTATACTCAGCTATTGAATTAAATAAGACTTTCTAGAGCTATAAGAATAGATTTCCTATCACTACTAGATTTTGTCTTCCACTATTTTATCATTCAAGGAAATCATAATTTATAATTTCCCTCTCATCTGGAAGTTTGTGGTATTCTTCCAAAGTTACTCTCATATCTGGTTGCTTTTTTTACATGAAATTTTTTTCCAGCACAGTTCTACTGTCAACTCTTAATTTTTATGCAGGGTGGAACTCTTTTCTTTCCTATTAATTAAGTTTTGTTTTATCTTTTTGGTAAGCTGTGACCTTTCATTGTTGCAGATCACAAGTCCCATCTCATCAAGTTTCAATAATGTCTTTCTGTTCATGTGCACTTCCTTAAAGATCTTAATAGACATTTCTCAAGACACACAAATGACCAACAGGTATATGAAAAAACACATCACTAATCATCAGGGAAACACAAATCAAAACCACAATGAGATATCATCTCACCTCAGTTAAAGTAACTACTATCAAAAAAGTAGAAAACATGTTGGAAAGGATGCAAAGAGAAAGTGGAATTCTTGTACACTGTTACGGAAATGGAAATTAGTACAGCCACTATGGAAAATAGTATGTAGTTCCTTAAAAAAACATAAAGTAGAGCTACCATATGATCCAGAAATCCCACTGCTGGGTATATATCCAAAAAAAAAAAGAAAATCAATGTATCAAAGAGATAGCTGCACTTCCATGTTTATTGTAGCACTATTTACAAGAGCCAAGATAGGGAATCAAACTAAGTGTCCATCAATGGATGAATGAATAAAGAAAATGTGGTACATATACACAATAGAATATCATGTAGCCAAAAAAGAATGAAATCCTATCATTTGCAGCAACATGGATGGAACTGGAGGAGATTGTGTTACGTGAAATAAGTCAAGAACACAACGACTCATGTGGGAGCTAAAATAACTGAATCTCATGGAAGTAGAAAGTAGTATGGTTATCAGAGGCTGGGAAGAGTAAGGGCTAGAAGGGATGAAGAAAAATTGGTGAATAGGCACCAGATACAGTTAGATTGAAGGAATGAGCTTTAGTGTTCAATGGCACAGTAGGGTGATTGTATACTATGCATACATACTCCATGTAATGTACTATAAATTTTTGTAATATTTAACTATATATTTCAAAATAGATAAGAAAATCTGGAATGTTCCCAACACAAACAAGTGATACA
The DNA here is from genome assembly GCF_000001405.40 of Homo sapiens. Classification (NCBI taxonomy): domain Eukaryota; kingdom Metazoa; phylum Chordata; class Mammalia; order Primates; family Hominidae; genus Homo; species Homo sapiens. Next base: position 76,147,839 of record NC_000013.11, read on the forward strand.
TGTTTGATGTGATGGATATCCTAATTACCCTGATTTGATTATTGCAAGTCGTATGTATCAAAAATATTTGTACCCCGTAAATATATAGAACAACTATTATGTATCAACAAACTACCACTTACATTAAAAAAATTCACAATAAAATAGAAACCAAAAATTTAGCTTGGGATTTCAAATATTTGAATATAGACATCTGGATCTAAATACTAAAGAGTTAAATACCAAAGGGTTAAAATTCTTATTCTGCCCATGGAATCCAGAAATACAGGACTGGAAGGGACTTAGTTTTCAGTACTACCTGAAATCAATCTGTTTTGTGGCTTTTCTTTTTGTGTAACAATCATTATTTTACCTAGCTCTCCCCATTCGTCACCCGGTTACATAGAAGGCACCTGCTCAATTACTGATAAATTTTACACTAGTTATTTTTGTCTCTGTCCTTCAAACCACAGTTTAAATACCTTTCTCTCAAGGTGCTAATTATCCTTCCAGAAGTACTTTGTTGATAATGTAATCCAGAATCTGAAAAAAGATGTTTGTCAATAAAAACAAGGTACACCTCTGTTCTCTACCTCTATTATTAGGTAGAATCTTACCCTTCAAGTGGAGTGATACCATTACCTAATTTCCATCCTTTCTAAGTCTGACTTTTGAAGTTTGGATGCTTGCCAAACTTCAGCTGGGCATGAGAGTCACCTGGAGGGCTTGTTAAACTTGGATTTGAACTTAGATCTGTCTAAAAATAACACAGATTGCTAGGCCCACACCCAGAGTTTCTGATTCAGTATGTCTACACAGGGGCTCAAGAAATTGCAGATTTAACAAATTCTCAGCTGATGCTGCTGACCACTTTTTGAGTACCATTGTTAAGGTGTTCTGTCCTAATGAGATGAAAAACTAATGGTCTTCAAATATCAGAATTGCTCTCAAATCCACCCACTGTTCACCATTTGCATTTTCCACCTCCTGTCATTTCTCCCCACTGTAGCCAGGCTGATTATCTTAAAATATGAACCATAAAGGATTTTTGAGCTTGGTTGTCCCTCTGCCTGCAACCTATTAGAATCTTTCCTTTGCTGTTAAGGTAAAAATCCACTTCCTCCCAACCCTCCAACATAGGCTACCAGGCACAGCACAATCAACCTGCCATACCATCCTCAATTCAAGCCCCAACCCCCATCTCTGGTGGGGCTTGAAACTGAGCTCTTTCCATCTTGGGCCTTATCCAGTTGCTCATTTTCCAGGAATGCTCTTCTATTAAATCTGAGGCTGCTCCACTCCTACTCTTCAGGCTGCTCAGCTCTGTCAGGGCTCCCCACCATACTTCTGTGGTGAGTAACTCTCCTGGTTTACCCATGACTGAGGGGATTTTTAGAAAGTGAGACTTTCAGTGCTAAAATCAGGACGGTCTTGGGCAAACCAGGAAGATCGAGCATGCTATCAATCTCCCGGCTTTCAATTTTATGTTTTCTTTATAGCACTTACATAATTTATAATTGTATATTTACTTGTGTGATTTTTTGAGCACTTGCCATCATTATTAGACTACAACTCCATAAGAGAAAAGATGGAATCTATTGTTTTCAACTCTTTTGTCTTCAGAGCCTAGCATTACATTTATCACAAAATACCTGCTCGGTAATTACTGCTTTTGAAAAAGCTACATGTGTCATTGGTTACCTCTGCTACAAAGGGAAGTGGAGAATGCTGAATGTGAGTTATAAAACAACCTGCAATATTTGTCTTACCTTATAAAACATATGTTATCAGAAAATTTTGGAAATAAAATTTTATACATTTCTCTCTTCCCATTGGTACCTAGACATTGCTAATATGATTTAGTTGGCTTGAGCCCACCAATTCCATTGATGTCCCAGACTTTTCAGCTAACAGAGGCTGCAGCTAAAGAAATACCCATATCTCTGATCTAGTAAGTTGAAACCCAATGACCCTTTCTTAATAAAAATTAAAAATTAATAGTAACTGGCATTGAGTGCTTATTATATATACCAAGTTCTAGGGTAAACACTATACCTGCGTCATCTCTTAAAAATGTACATGCCACTGGGTGCGGGGCTCATGCCTGTAATCCCAGCACTTTGGGAGGCTGAGGCAGGCATATCACCTGAGATCACAAGTTCAAGACCAGCCTGGCCAACATGGTGAAACCCCGTCTCTACTAAAAATACAAAAATTAGCCAGGCCCGGTGGCATGTGCCTGTTATCCCAGCTACTCAGGAGGCTGAGGCAGGAAAATCACTTGAACCTGGGAGGTGGAGGTTGCAGTGAGCCAAGATCGTGCCACTTCACTCTATCCGGGATGAAAGAGTGAAACTCCATCTCAAAAAAAAATGTACATCCTATGAAATCGATATTTTTATTATCCTCATTTTAGCAATGAGGAATACAGAGAGAAAATAAGCATTATACCCAAATATATTAAGTGGTTGAGTCAGGATTCTAACTTGGACCTGCCTAATTCAAACAATTTCATGCTTTTATGTATTCTTTTAACAGAAAATGGACAGGATTGACACCTTTTTTTTCCCCTCCTTTTTTTTTTTCCTGTGTGTGGATTGACTCTTACCAATGGGATTTCCTTGTCTGGATTAGGTAACTCAATAACTGGTCCAGATTAACTGTCTTGAAAATTAACTGTATTGTAGAAATTACCTTATTTAATCATCACAAGTGATATTTTCCCCTATTTACCTAATAATTTGTGATATGTTCCACTTTTTATCTCTGAAAGAATGAGGCATAAAAAGAAGATAAGAAAATTTTCCTAAGTTTTCCTAAAATTTTCCTACAGTTTTTAAATGATGGAGTCAGGATTGACATCAAGACCATTTGATTCCTAAAATATATGTGTAATTTACATCCTTTTTCTCAAATTCCCAAACTGACCATGAATTAAAGGATTTTAGCAATATTTTTCAGGTGTCTTTTGCTTATTTCCTTATTACTCCACACAGCTGGATGCCAGCATCTATGAAATATTTCCTCTCATGAAAACCTAGAAATGTTCTCAGTAAAGACCACCTCAAAGTATTCATTTTTACACACCACTTTCTCAGGCAGAATATTAACAAAGCTTGTAATGCTTTTATTCCTCTGGAGAAAAATCAACAGAACCTTTCCTCTTCCAAATGTCTCATAGTCAGAAAAGTGTAACTGGAATTTGAGAAAGAGGTTAGCACTTCATCTTCAAGTATATATGACAGCCTTCTAGATAATAAGCATATCTTTAATATGTTTTATACCCCAAATGTATACACAGGATTGGTCAATTAACTTTAATGGATGGGTGGAAATATACAATTGTTTCAATCCCATGTTGCTACCTGAGACCAGACATTGGTTGTGTTCTCTTCTTACCACTTACAAATTTGTAAAACTTCCTCCAGCTCTAACATGAATTGATTTGTATTTATTTGCTTGTGGCTGTGAACTGTAGATTAAGATGCTTTAGAAATACTTGGAAAAATATTTTTTTTCTAAAAAGGTAGAAAAGTAATGTGTGTGTATTATGTTTTCAGTTGTTTCTTATATATTGTATCAAAAGAAACTCTGGGATTTTAAAAATGATACAAATCTAGTAATTCATCTAAATTAAATAAAATTCATCAAATAAAATATTCATTTTGCTAAAATTATAGATTTGATCTATGACACATTAATTTTATGCTACCCCCATTTTCAGTATTTTTTTTTCATTCACTTTATTTTTCTCTGGACAAGTTTCCTTTTCCTACAGTTAATAGATTTAGAAAATGATGTGAAGCAAATAAATGTTGCCAGTGTTTACAGATGCAATCAAAATTCCAGAAAGAAACAGGACTCTTTTTAACACATGGAAAGAGTGATCAAATATGCCTGGGCTCAGGTGCACTTTCATTGAAGCCAGAGTTTCTTGCTAAGAGAGTGCTCCGCAGTCTCAAATTGGAAGAAAACACTCTCCCTATTAAGCAGTTACTCTTAGTCATTGGCATGAGATTGAATAAAATTCATCATAACTGCATCAAATGTCTTCGGTTTCACTGAACTGCCACACATACAACCCACACAACAGTAATTGGCTCTGGTTGGCTCAACAAGGATGCTCTTGTGATTGAATTAAGAATGAAATAAATTTCTTCTTCCTTGTTCAGGGAAGGGAAACAAGAGTGAGACATATAGACAATCAAAATTAAGCCATTTAGAAATAATTAGTTTTCTCATCTTCTGATCTAAAGCATTTAGGCAATATTTTTAGTACTTAGTATTGAGGGTAATATTACCATCAAGGAAAAAATGGCTAACTCTTATAGTGGAAATTGCTCAAATATAGAATGGATGTTTAAATAACAAATGAAAGCATTTTTTTCCAGTAGAAATTCAATTTGGCTATCAATTAGTCTGCAAAACTGCTTCTAGTTTTTACAGAAGTCATAAATTGTTGACTTTCATCTGGGTCTAACTGAGAATAGCTAATATTGAAAAAGGAGTAGTCAAGGATTTAAGTGAGCCTGGATTTACTTCAGTTTAAGCTTCAAATACTTCATCCTTGTAGAAAATTCAGAAATAAGATGGATATTAAAGTCACCGCAGTTTGGAGTGGGTACAGATATCCACGCTGCATTGGGATCTATTGCAAGAAGGATTACTCACTCATATTGGCTAAGAATCAAATTAAGGATTTAATATAAAATGATCTGCAGTTCAGAGAAAAGTTGGAGACAGAAAATAGAAATATTTTGATAAGTCTTACTATAACTATTACTTGTGGAAACATTAGAGTATTTGCTCAAACATAAAGATATCTGCTCAAACATAAAGGTATTTGCTACACATTTTCTCTGAGAGACTAAAAGCAATTGCTTCTTAATAAAAATAGTGATATTTTAGAAATTTACTCTATTTCTTTTCTTTTATACTAGAAAATAGTAATTTAAATAACATTTTTGTGTTAACTACATATTGGTTTCTTAAAACTGCATAACAAAGTACCAAAAACTGGCTGGCTTATAATAATAGAAATGTACTGTATCACAGTTCTGGAGGCTAGATGTTCAAAATTAAGGTATCACTAGGGTTGGTTCCTTCTGAGGGTGGTGAAGGAGAATCTGTTGCATGCCTCTCTCCCAGCTTCTGGTGGTTTGCTGGCAATCCTGGACTTGTAGATGTATCACAACAATCTATGCCCTCATCTTCGTATAGCATTCTCCCTGTGTCTCTGTCTTTTACATCATCTTCCCTCTATGCATGTCTGTCTCTATGTCCAAACCTCCTCTTTTTATAATGACAACAGTTGTATGGGATTAGGACTCATCCTAATGACCTCATTTTAAATTATTTCTGTAATGAGACTCTTTCCGAATAAAGTCACATTCTGAAGTACTAGGGGTTAGAACTTCAGTGTTACCTTTTTCTTAAAGGGGACACAATTCAACTCATAGCAATGTATTACTAAGAAATTCATGTTTTAAGGGAAAGTGATTCCTAATGTTTTACATAGCCAGAAAAATTGGTTTGCAAATCTTATGCACTGAAACAGTGCAAGTTCTTTACCTAGTGGGAGCTTTCTGAAACTATAAGCCCATGACACCTGAAACCTGCAGAAGTATAGTCATTTGAGATGCTGTGCACTTTGTTGACAGTGAAAATATATCATTTCCTGAAAAGTGTCTTTTCATAAAGAGAGAGAAGCTGTAGAAACTCCATCACTACAGAAGACAAAGTAGGTTGTTCCTTCTCTTACTTGTCTAAATTCAAAGACAGCAGGAAAGGGACTCCTTGCTCCCCAGTGCTGCTCCATGCATTGCATTATTTTAGGCCTGCTCTCAACTACCTAACAAAAGACTTACTTGTTTGAAGTTCATACCTAAACTATCCTTTCTTTATTTTGCTATCCTCCGTGGCCAGCGTTCATGTACCTCATTTATAACTACTGTTAGCTCATAGTATTTTTTCCCACTCTCTTCCTGTTCTTGGTACTAGAACTACATTTGCTGGAACTATCTGACCTGTGAACAATTTACTGTTCTTTCTATTCACCCTGCCCTACTTACACACACATTGGACCACATATATATACCTGTAGAGATATAATTGCTCATTCCTGTATGTGGTCAGTATTCAACAAGTGTTAATTTCTTGCTCTAGATGATACTGGAATGGTAGTTTGGAGATATCCTTAGAAGTTCTTGTGTACTGACTCATGCTGTTTAATTCTGTCAGTGCTGTGAAACCAAAAAAGGCTTCCAATCAAGTTACTAATTGAAACTTAACAAATGTTAAACTGGAAGCAAGACATTGGAAGGATGAGAAGGAGACAAAAGCTAAAAGAAGTAGACAAATTATGAAGGTATTGAAACGTCTAAAAGATAAATAAGCACACTAAGGCTAAGGCAAGAGTGATGTCAGGAAAAATGCAAGGAACAAAATGGATTGTGAAATCCTTCAAGGTAAAAAAAAAACAACTCAAAATATAAGACCTGGAAGTTAACTGGATATGTAAAGAAAAGCATGAGGAGGAATCAACCTTGGCTTCAAATTATATGCTAGAGCAATAACATGCACACACACATCAAGAAAAGGGTCTGGCTTGGGTCACAGAAGTGACAATAAGTTCTGCTTTGGACTTCTGAAGTTTTAGGGACCTGTAGGTCAATGTTCAATTGTAGACATATATTTGGGAGTCAGTCATGCAGAGGTGAAGCCCTGGAAATGAAAAGGCACATGATTAAAATACTACAAGCAGAAAAAGAATTTCAAGCACAGAAACTTGAAGAATACATACATGTTTAGGATGGCAAGAAAAAACAAAATAACTGAAGAGTTTTTTAAAATGTTGTTAGGAGAATGAAGCCAAATATAAAAAAAATCTACTGTGGAGGGATTCATGGCAAGGTGGCCAAGTATTTTTAAATGGACCAGGGACTGTTTCATTTTCATATTTACAGCACCTGGCAGAGCTTGAAAATAAGTATTCAATACATGCCTATTGAATCAAATATTTGGGGAAAGGAACTTAATAAAACTCTTAGTATCTAAACATTGCAAGTAGCATGTAATCTGTATTATTCTGTCATCTAGTATTAGATTTAAAAATGATAATATTGCTGTCCTCTACTTCTTCCTTGGAAGCCACAATAATAGAGAGATCATTACATAGCTGGTAACCTCCAGTCCTTATGACTTTGGTGCAATGTAGGGACTACATTGCAGGATTCCACTGGGTGTGTCTGATACCAGCACCTGGCTTCTTTTTTTATGCCATGTTATTAACCCTGGAGCCAGAGAAAACCAACCTGTTCCTGTAACCATCTGAATAGTTGGACACCTTAGTCGTTTATTGTTCAAGCAAATCTTTTCTAGTAATTTAAAATATTCTATGAAAATTATGGTATAAGTAATTGGCACTATTATTGTTACCCTCATACATAAGCAACTTTTTGGAAAAACTGGGTAAAGATTGTGAAAGTAATTTGATTTAATAATAATAGAAGATAACACTTATATCAGTTTTGCTGTATGTCTAGCACCATCCTAAATTCTTTGCATATATTATCATTTCTAATAAAAATCTAATGAGATAAATATTGTCTTTTCCATATTGATGAAACTGATAGAGAGGTTAAGTAATTTGCTCAAAGTTACTCAGCTAGTTAGTGTTAAATAATCATTTTGTGATGCAAATTAGTTTGAAGGACATTTAGGCAAATCCATGTAAACATGATTAGTAAAAACAACAAAACTAGAAAACCTTTAGTAAAAATTAATGTACTCTAAGTCTTTTCATATGTAAGTAATTATAAATTTCAAATGAATACATGAAAGTTTCGGTCTATCTTTGGAGATCAACAGATCCATTGAGTCATCAATGCATTCAAGATCTAGTATAGCATTTGATCTCACAGGGACCTCAGTAGATACGGAAAGATAAGGTAGTATATCAGAGTTCAACCTGATAAGCAGAACCATTAGGATGTCTACTTATCCCATCTCTATTGCTGTCTCTAGCATCTCTATCTTATGTGTGTATATCTATATTTACATCTCTATCCATCCATCCATCTATCTACACCTATTACAAAGAACTGACTATGCAATTATGATAGCTAAGTAAAGCAAGTCGAAACTCTGCATAGCAAGTGGTCGAGAAGAGAGGTCATGAGCAGGCTGGAACCCAGGGGCACAAGCTGACATTTGTTGTCCAGAGGCAAGAGTCTCAACCTGGGCAAGGCCTAAGTTGTCTTTGAAAGACCTTCCAAGTGAGTAAGTCTGGCTCACCTAGATTATCCAGGACAATTTATCTTTTGATAAAATGAAAGTTGACAATTTATCTTTTGATAAAATGAAAGTCAACTGATTAGACATTTTCATCTCATCTTCAAAATCTGATCACAGCAGCACCTAGATTAGTGTTTGAGTAACCAGGAGACAGGATGTGCATGTTACAAAATGGCTTCTATTCCCTTTTTTCCTCCAACTCAGGAATGAATGTCTCTTGCAGCTCATCTTAACTGAAAACGATCTAGAAAGGGAATTTTGGGAATTGCTGTTTAACTTAGCTAAGAGGACACATCAAAAGCCATCATAGACAGGTGAGGTTGTCAGCATTATGGTCCACATTTTTCACATTTTGTTGCCTGGTGAAATTATTTAAAGAATAATCTATACTAAATATGGCTGATCAAACAAAAACATAATTAAGAGTGACAAGATAAGGGTATAAAGGAGATTATAATTATTATAACAACATTTGACATATTGTTCAGTATAAATAAAATAATTAGATATGTTAGACATATGTAATGACAAATACTTAAGATATTTTCTGCTATAATGAAAACAGTTCATATCTTAAACCTCAGTCCTTTTAAATAGAAGATATTGAGCTATCTCTTTCTGCTGTATATATCAAATTCATATTAACTGAAAAGAAAACTTCAATTAATTAGCATGCTCTTTGAAACATTAAAACTTGATTAATAAAATTTGGGTTGACAGATTACAAATGTGTTTTTGGAAGGAGAAAATAAGATACAGATTAAGATAATTTTAATAAATACTATTTATTGCCAGTCCAACTACGCACCAGGAACTTATATTCATTATCATCAAGCTTTATATAAACTGAAAGGTCTCTCAGCTGAGAAGTGGCTTATCTTGGATTTAACTCAGTTCTGACCCATTCTGTACTGTATGTGCTTTAACTAGGCTATAATGCCTCTAAAAGTCATTTTTAGAAATCCATGTCACTTACCTATTGGTTATGTGTTTTGTTTTGTTTGTTTCCCTTTCACTTCTCTTAATACTTTCAAGGTGAACTTAGTACTGTCTTATAGGATAGTTGGTAGTTTATGTCTTTTTCCTGACTGTGGAACATAAAGATTTCCTTTTCCAGGTCTAGGCCTCTTGTTCGTTGGTGAATGAACAGGCAGAGGGCAGTTTGAGGGCAAAGCCTTCCTTCCAAGCACCTCTGGATCCACTGTGTGTCCACCCCTAAGTCATCCACACTCTTTTCTCGGGGACTTGATTTTGATACCAAGTAATTTGCTCATTTGCTCTCTTAAACTGTTTAAGAGATAGCTTGACATTCTTAATTGGTTAATTTATAAAATTACTAACTCCCAAGTTGAGTTATAACAATATTCTCACCCACGAATGTTACTCCAAGAAAATTTAAAAACCTGACTACCCTCCTCTTAAAAAATAGCTCTATAAAATTATATATTACATTTAATTCAGTTTCACCAATGTCTATATTGAGAAAACGCAGTCTTCCAGACTAGCTGACATTTCTTTTTTTTTTTTTTAATTTAAAAGAAACTGAAAGGAATTTAATCAGCACCAATAAGTAGGCTTTGGAAAGGAAAGTAAATAGGCATATGATTTGATTTGGAGTATACGAGAAGACAAAAAAATAATAAAACCCTAAAGTTAGAGTTGAAAATTTGTAGCAAATAACTAGATATCAGAAAATTTATCATAGTATGAGAAGTGACGTACAGTGGTGGGGGCCAAGAGGAGAAGAAACCCAAGAGGATATCCTGCCAGCATCTGGAGGCACAAGAGGTTTATCACACATATTTGAAAGCCCACATGCTCCCATCTTTGACTTAACTACACTCTAAGCAATCAGCAGCCAGGTTTTATCTTATTATTTATGATTTATGGGTCTTCTTATATCCTTGAAATAATAAAGATTTCCAAGACCCAGGTTCTTTTCCCTGCCTTGTCACCCACTCCACTGTGTCCTTTGTCAGTCAATTCCCTTTGTCATTCCTTCATTTTCTCATTTACAAGTGTGGAGACATGGTTGTCATATCCTCTTTCAGCATGATGATGAATGGGGTAATATGTTTAAAGTCTATTTGGCTCCTTGGAAACAAGGTACTACATATGCACAGCATTTTATCTTTATTTCCAGTTTGAGAGGAAAGGAGGTGAAATGAACACAGCTAGGGCTTGGGTTGGAGTAGGAGTCAGGGGTTGAAACTATCATTTGAAACACTTACTTTGGTACAGAGTTTCTTTTCAAAGACCATGACAATGAGAACCTGAACATTTTTCTTCCGTAATTGATTCTCTGTATGTGGTGATTTTCCCTGAAGCTCATTGTCATCTTGTAGTTTCTTTGTAGCATGTTAAGTTTGTGCTTTTCTTAGCAACTTACAGAAACTTTCTTACAGAAAATGGAAAACTCTTATAAGTAATAAGTGGCAAGATAAGGTATGCAAGATAGCTTTTATGAAAAACAATGGGAAAAAAGTAGCTCCCATCAATCTGTTCTTTCAAGGAATAACATTCAGATGTTAATGTCTGGACTTTTGAAATTGTAGATGTACCTAACAACACCAAAACAATTCCATTTCTGAGAATAGAGCCTAGGGGATGTTTCTACATGGATTACTGGTGTCAGCAAAGATAGATAATTTACAAGGAGGCCCCTCAAGACTGTCATCTTCAGCCTCAAGTGCAGGGGTACCTTTAGCAAACTTTAGAGCTAATGTTTTATTGAATGCTTACTATGTTCTCCATATTTACATGTATTATTTAATATTCACAACAATTCCTTTATTTCCTTCATTTCCAACAATAGGTTAAATAACTTGCCTGATTTTTTACAACTATGAAGTAGAAGAGCCTGGATTGAAAGTCATCTGGCATAAATCCATGCCTATCATTGTTACGTTTTACCGTTTCTGAGTAGGAAATTCAAAAGCTGATCCTATATTCAGTGAGCATAATTTTTTCATATGGATATGTTACTCATTCCTCCACTAGGCTCCAAATTATTTTGAGGGCATTGAATGTGGCTTATTCATCTTTGTGGGAAACTCGATCTCAAGCCCAATGTCTGTACATAGGAAGGATGTCTTAAATAAACATCTGCAAAGGGGATATTGCTATCCCCTTGATGTAGGTGAGAATACTGAGGCTTTAAGATGTTAAGCAATGTGCTCACAGTTCTGTTACAGCAAAGCCTCCTTCTGATTTCAGTCCCTGGCTCTTCCCAGGATACTGCAGCCTCCTCTACCCTTTTTCCCTTTCTATTGCAGGTTTCTAATTTTAGTTTTTGACCATACCTTAAGCTATTTGCAGGGAAATTGAGGAAGGTGCTATATTCTTTGAATCAACAGACGTTTCTGGGCTTCTACAGAGCACTAAGTAGGGATTTATTGAGTTACTACAAGGTACCAGGCATATTGCTAGATGAATTACCAACCTCGTATAATCTATTCTTATTATTCCATGATGTGGTGACTATGGTCCAATTTTATGGATGAAAAAACTAAGTCTGAGAGAGGTTAAATTACTTGTCTAAGGTCAGGCAACCATTTAAACCCAGGTCAGTCTGATCCTGAGACCCAAATTCATTCAACTACACCAAAAAAGGTGACACAGTATAGTGCCTCGCAAGGCTTTATTTTAATCTAATTTTCTAATGAATGACTAAAACTATTTTTATTTTCCTTAAGAGAGAGAATGAGATTTTGTTGGATCCTTTTGTTGTTGTGAACGCTATTGTCAAAACAACACCTTCATTGAGATATTTAATGTTATCACTACTTGTTAAAGAACTGAAGTGGAAAAGTCATTTTGAGCTTGTAATAGTAACAATGGTTATTCAGAGAGGGCCAGAATTCTTGGTCTGCATTCTTTTGCCTTCTGCCAGGATGCTATGACCATTCACTCAGAGGACATGTCAGGTCTATCATTAAGTCCCATCTTCTCACCAGCATCAGATAATAACTGGTTTTCATGTTTCCACCCACTGGCCTTCCTATTGCAAATCACTGACATTCTTCCTTTCAACAAGAGCCAGTAACTCCAGTCCCTTTCTGCCCTCTGCTTCATCTTTCTTTTCATTTTATATAGAGAGACTTAACCACGGTTAAAGAGAAACCTCCCGTCAGGATGTGAGCAGATGCCAGCTCTGCTGCTGCTGCTGGCCAAAGGCTTAGGCCAGTGACAGTTGGGCTAAAATGAGATTCCAGGCACACCTGGAAGAGAAGCATGTTAGGGCACAGGGTTGATGATGACAAATTAAAATTACTGCTGAAGCAGAATGGAATAGCAGCTGGTTCATGGAAGATGTCATTAATGTTCTAAAAAGAATCTGAAAGTATACTTCAAAAATGTAATCTATTAAATAAAACTTACACACTGAGAATTTATTTTTAAGGTTGTCTTGCTGCAGACGCAAGAGTTGAGATGTCATGTTATCTGCCAGGTTGTGATAAACTTTAAAAATTTTGAACATATGCTTCCTTGATTTTGGATGTGGACCATAGTATATTACATCTATGTGGATTTAGGGTGTCAAACTTTATAAGTCAGAAAATAACCATTCTCACCTCTCAAAATGAATGCTAAAAGCTTCTTGTGCCAGACTCCAGGATCCCTGCATATTCACCAGTATTGGGGTAGGGGTGGGGTGGAGATGAGGACCTGCGTCCCCTTATGACACAGCACTCAGAGCGTGACTGCTGAGCCTGTAAAAAGCCGTAACTGCCCCCAGAGACTGGCCAGGGACAGCCTCCCAGGTTGCTGGGTCTCCTGGCTGGGGAGCTGGATTTGGGGCTACCCTACAGAAAGTCTAGTAGGACTTTACCACTTGCTTAAGCTGGAGGGCTCTGGGGTGAGAAGAAGAAAAGCAATCCATCTCAGTTCTCCAGCGCTATATTTGGTCACACACCATGCCAAAACTGAACTGGAGTCTCTTATATGGAGTTCTTTTAAATCCTTCTATCTAGAATGAAGAAGTGTCTGTTGAAACCAAGCCATGTTTTCTTGCCAATTCAATATAGCTAAAGCCAAATCATCTCCTCTTGCCCCCAACTTATATATTATGGGAAGTTTTCTCTGTCTTAGCTGTTTATCTGTAGAGATAATTCTATTTCCTTGTGCTTCACTCAGTCAAAAAATTTCATGCTAAGCCAGCCAGGTTTACACACATTCACAGCTATTCTAATGCCTCAGCACTAGCAGCCCTTCTCCAGAGAACCAGCTGGCCTTACTCCATGACTGACTCCAGACATGTGTTGGTGTCCAATTGCCTCCTCAACCCAGACATTTGTTGTGATGTTAAGAAGGCAGCCTCTAGAATTAACTGGCTGGTTTCAAATGCCACCCTGCCATTTACTAGTTGTGTGACTTTAGTAAAGTTCCTTAAATTACCCTGCCATTTACTAGTTGTGTGACTTTAGTAAAGTTACTTAAATTTTCTGAGCCCAGTCTCTCCAGTTTGAAAACAAAGATAATAATTTTCATCCCATAGGTCTTGGTGGTGGAGTGCGTTAGTCACTGTTGGGTACCATTGGTAGTACTCTGAATAGCAAACTGAACCCTGGCAGCCTGGGCTCCACCCTGCCAGGCATGTGTTATCTAAATAGCTGTTAAATTTTGCCTTCAACAGCTTTACTACACTGAGCTGGGCAGATAAGAGAAAATGAGGCCAGCATACATACTAACCAGGAGGACTTGTCAGGGGCTTATAAAAAAACCCTAGCTATATGTATTAATCCATTTTTGTGTCACTATGCATGAAACTGTGTAATTTAGAAAGAAAATAGGTTTAATTGGCTCATGTTTCTGTAGGTTGTAAAGGAAGCATGGTGCCAGCATCTACTTAGCTTCTGGTAAGGGTCTCAGGAAGCTCCCAATCATGGTGGAAGGCAAAGGGAGAGCAGGCATGTCACATGACGAGAGTGACAGCAAGAGAGAGAAGGGGTAGGTGAAACACTCTTTTAACAACTAGATCTTGTGTAAAGTCACTGAGCGGGAACTCACTGATTATTGAGAGGGTGGCGCTAAGCCATTCATGAGGGATCCTCTTGGCCCAAACACTTCCCACCAGGTCCCACCTCCAACACTGGGGATTACATTTCAACATGAGATTTGGAAGGGACAGACATTCAAACTATATCACTATGTCTAGTCAATCAATCCAACATCCCATTCCTGGAAACATTTGGGAGAAATTGCAGCTGCAAGGAGGATGTTGTACAAATGGGGATGAAGCTGAATAAATACTGTATTGTGACTATTACTAATGCTAGCTATTCTGCTTTATACACCAGGCACCCAGGGCTGTTGAAGCCTTGGAAGCCCCTGTTCCATATTTGCGCCACTCAGCCTGTCCTCAGTCATTCTATGTACAGCCATTTATTTCCATAGAGCTCCTTTAAGATGGAAAGATGAAACTGTTAAGTCGAACCATATGATTTCCAAGAATCAGCAGTACATAATAGGCTTTTCCATTTAGTATTACTGCTTCCCTCTAACATTTTCATGTTCACAACTGTGATTGGTTCATATTGAAATTTAAGGAGAATGAAGAATCAGCAAATTCAAATAGACAAATAAATCCAGATCATCTAAATTCAAATTGTATTTTGGGTCATCTGTGAAATGTCTTTGACTTGTTTTTGTTTCTACGGCTGTAAAATGGATAATCTACAATCAACTCTGTAATTTTAAGGAATATAAACAAAGGACTATAAAGTGCTTTTAAAATTAAATTCCCGCTTTAATTTCCAGGTTTCAGCACAATGTTGACACAAATAAGGCATTTAAGTGGTTTGCTTCATGGGTAAAATAATATCATGTGTGGTATGTAGTTTTTGGCTTACTCAGGGATTTCTAAGTGGAGCAGAAAGAACCATTAGTTGGGCGTCAGGAAACCTGGATTCTAGTCCCAGAATGACCTTGTGCTAATTTGAGACTTTCCTTTTTGGAGCTTTACTTTTCTTATTTTCCAACTGAAGGAGTTGATGCTCTCTAGTTCCCCTTCTATTGCTAACACCTTAATGATTGTATTTAATCAATTATGTAGCAGGATTATAGTATCAACAGTTCTCCCCAGAGATCTAGTAGAGGTCAAGTGTTTCAGAAGGCAGGAAGGGAAGGAAAAAAGGAGCAGGAGGGAGGAGAAGATGTGGAAGAAGAGGAGAAAACAGATATGAAGAGGGAGAAAGAAAAGGAAGGTTCCATTAAATGTCATGGGGCAGTGCCAGCCCAAGTGTAATTCTGAAATAAGTAAGGCTGGTCTTGATACTTCTCACCGTTTTTTTATCCATCTAGTTCCCAGCTTCCATGTTTCTCTCTTTAGAGGTTTAGATGAGCAAAGCCTAGCTGATGATCTAATCTTCCCACCCTTCCAATATCTACTCTGACTCCAAAGGCTCCATACTCCAAAATAAACTCTCTCTCTGCTTTCCCAGTCTAACCATCAATGCATCTGAACTCTACTGCAAATTGGGAGAAACATCATGAATTAACACCTAAATAAGAATGATTTAATTTTCAACCTCCCTTCAAGATAGTTATGCTTTTTAAAAAGAGAGTTCTTGCAAATAGCATGTTAGGCAGAGAACAAAGTGAAGAGCAAAATCTAGGAGGTTTGGAGCAGAGTTACCTGACTACCACAACAGCCACCCAGGTCTCTTGAGATCCTGTTCCCCATGGCCATTTCCCAGAAGCCCCTCTGGCTTCCCTCAGCCTCTTCCCTTCCTTCGTATCTGAATACATAGGAGCTAGGAAGTCAGGATCTTATTACAACAGTGGTGTGTTTCCCTTGGGGCACCACAAATTCATCATGAACTAAATCAGTATATAAATAACCGAACATAAGCAAACAGATGAATAAATAATAAACAGCTTCCATGGTGATGACACTAGGGTCTGTGCCTATGGGAATGGAGGGAGCAGAGTGTGTTGCTTCTTTGCAAGTCAAGGAATACTTGGATGCATCAAACTGAGAGAAAAGAGGGCAACTAAAGTTACCTGAAGTGGGGAGTAACACAAGTGATTTCTTGGACTATTTTTGATCCAAAGCCTATTTATTCTCAACTAGGTGTTAAACTTTAGAGTGAGAAACAAGGAACCAGAGTTTTCTTACTTTATCATGCAGCTTTCCCTATAATTTCCAAATCCATCTCAGTAGGGGTGACTTAGGCCAGAATTGCTGTCAATGCTGCAACCACAAAACATGGATCCCAGCTCCCAGACTACATTAGAGGGAAGATCTCTCCTCCCTTGCCCCTCCGAACCAATGACGAATGCAGTAGCAGAGTTTGGCTGGAGACCAGGATTTTCTGGGACACTTGACTATTACCATAAGGCTTAGGCCACAGACCTTGGTTACACCAGGGGAAGTGTTGGTGCATCTTTAATGATTCAGCTAAAAACCAGCAACTTGAGGGCTGTGTTCTTCTTCCAGAGCCTGAACATCCCCATCTGCTGTTCCAGAGTGCAATGGGCTAAGTGGGACACCACATGCTGTTGTCTCTGTGAGTGTTCCCAGGGATGTTATTCCAGAAGCCTTTGTGTGCGTGCCTGGTCATGTCCCTTGTCTATACAACAGGATATAAAACAAATAGTTCATCATCTAGTTTACTACTCTTAAAGTTTTTTAAACTCCCAAGAAAAATGTCCACTTACTGTTACAGAAAATCTCACATACAATTTCCAGAAGTTTATGGCTGAAGATAGGTTCAATGAAACCTAGGACAAGAGCCCTGATGGAGTGAGCCGTCCTTGCTTGAGACAGGCAGTACTAGAAGTATCAGAACATGTGGTGCTGAAGCAGGCACAATCTAGAGGGGTTACAAATACCATTAACATTCCATTGGCTTTGTCTTCTCATACCCTATCTAAAATAATACCTCTTCCTTTCCTTACAATTCCCTATTCTTTCACTATTTATTTATTCTTCAAAACACTTACTACTACATGATATGAAGGGCTTATAAAAAGTTGGAAAACCAGGGCTACATTTATTTTTTAAAGCATGTTGGCTATATTGTGTAATATTCTTAGTATGTTTTTCTCCAGTTCTTAAACACCTTTTGAAGTGATGTTTCTCTAAATGTAAAGCAACGGACCAATTTGCTCATTTTTAAAAGTACAATGAAGTATTTTTCTCTATGTTTCGAGACTTTGAGGGGCAGTCTTTAGTATGTTTATTGTATTGCTAGGTAATCCTTAGAACATCTCAGCAAGAGAAAAGAGATTAAAAAGCACATTAGTATGAATGCATGTCTATTTGATGTGATCATTAACATTAGTTATTACCTTCACAGATATGATTGGAATGTATAATCTCAAGTCCCATTAAGTCTTATTCTTCCAGTCCCAGCAGGCTTTTGTGTCAACTCATTAACACAAAGGTCATTGTTCTCATTTTTAGAAGACTAACAGATTGTAACAACACAACACTGATTATGCTGCTAGATTTGGAAAGACACAGAAGGAACAAAATCTTCTGCTTCATGAGAAGCGAGGAGTAGGCTCTTTCCAGTCACGTCTCTGCATTGCTAGAATTTACTGAAGTTGAAGA
Organism: Homo sapiens; assembly: GCF_000001405.40. Taxonomy (NCBI): domain Eukaryota; kingdom Metazoa; phylum Chordata; class Mammalia; order Primates; family Hominidae; genus Homo; species Homo sapiens. The sequence goes on from NC_000013.11 coordinate 76,165,672, forward strand.
GGAACCAATCAAAATATCTTTGGATAGAAGACATTGTTGTGAATGCACATCCAGCTGCCTGTGGAATCCCCAAGTTCCTCTCAAAGATGGTGGCCCAGTATTCCATCTCAGCTGAGAAATGACTCAGTCAACAAACTATTGATCACATATCTTGCTATCAGCAATGTGTTGGTGCAGTAACATATTATATAGGGAGGAACTCCTCTTCTTTCAGAGGTTAACTCTGAAAGTAGAGACAAGCTACTTTATTATTATATCAGCTAGAGGGTAATACACACCAAAAAAGAATTCAGGCTAGTTTCTACTGCAATACAGAAGAGGGGAAGAAGAGTAAAGGAATACTAGCTGGGGAGGAGTCAGGAAGAGCTTGCTAATATCTACCAGTATAATCAACACACAGAATATCTCAAATATGAAACAAATGACCAAATCCCTTGCTGCAAGAGAAACCTTTAAATTGAACGTTGAAAATGAGAAGGACTTAAATATGCAGTGATGGAGGATAATGTATTCTAGTTCCTGAGCAAAGCCATAATACAGACAATCCCCAGAGCTGTCAAGCACCATGTTCGTTTATTCACCAGTAAGCTGCTTGTCATTTCTGCTGTCCTGATTCTGCTTCAGACATCTCTCTCATAGGTTGGCCCCAGTGTGGCAATGGCAGCAGAGACCAAGGGAAATTCTTCATTAATGCAGTATGATGCTTCTCACTACTTTGCTGATAAATGTTGGGGAAAAAAAACCAGATTGATGAAGGCTCTACACTATCACATAAGCATAGCTTAGAATACTATTCAGTGTAACATTTAGTTCTGGAGAAAATCTTGGAAACTCTGTGGTTAGGTAGGGAAATTAGCCACAACTAGAGTTGGTTTGCCTTTCAGGTGCTGGAATAAAGTAAATAATGATTGAACTAGTCAGATGGAGATGACATCTCCTCTGAAAAATGACTGTGATAGTTGAATAAAAGCCAGTTTTCATCCACTGGCGCTAAAGTGCAAAGGAGATTTCACAGGAAGAGCTCATACATGAAACAAAATTGACATGTTCAGGGAGCTCAGTTTCCAGAGATTATACTTTGAACACCAGAAGAAACAGAATGGGTTTCCGAAGGGGTAATAAACTGAAAAATAATCTCCAGAGTTTTGCTCTCTCTTTATCTTGTTTGAAATTCAATATTACTCTTATTAAATGTGCTTGTGCTTTTAAACCTTTCAAAAAAACCCCCAATTTCTATATAACTATATTTCGAGTGCACTTTCAGATAAATGTAAACTTATATATGCATTCATAAATTTAATTACTGCACATGTATTTCTTAAAGTGCAGAGTTATTTTGTTTTGTTTTTGGTATGGAGTCTCGTCCTGTTGCCCAGGCTGCAGTGCAATGGCACGATCTTGGCTCACTGCAACCTCCGCCTCCTGAGTTCAAGCAATTCTCCTGCCTCAGCCTCCCAAGTAGCTGGAATTACAGGCACGAACCACCACACCCTGCTAATTTTTTGTATCTTTAGTTAGAGACAGGGTTTCACCATGTTGGCCAGGCTGATCTCGAACTCCTGACCTTGTGATCTGCCCACCTCAGCCTCCCGAAGTGCTAGGATTACAGACGTGAGCCACAGCGGCTGGCTGTTTTTCTTTCTCTCTGGATTCCATTACTACTTCATCTTCCTTCCATCCACATAACCCTCTACTCAGAGGAATCCTTGTGAATATCTACTACATGTTATTCCATATTTTCTACAAGCTCATGTTATCATAATTTACGTATGTGCAAGTTACATGTGCAGGAAGTTTTGCAGTAGTTTGTTACACAAAAACCAGTATCATACCATTATACTTATTTATGTTATTTTTCCACTCACCTTGTCTTTGTGGAAGTCACTCCAAAACAAATGGTTTACCTCTCATTCATTCTTTTTAATGACTGCATTATGTTTCATGGTGTGGATATAAAATTCTAGGTCATCAGATTTTTCTTTATTCTTTGAGGGAAAGTTTTTAAATGTCACTGAAATAATTTTTAAATGCCACCAAAATAATTGTATTTCAAATGCGAACAAGGTAGGCTTATAAAAGCATGTTTCCACATCAACCATAAATACTGAAAACCTAATTAGACCTGTGGACATTACAAGAAGAAGCCTGAGACTTCACTGCTCATACCCTTCCTCCTCCCATAGAAGTAACTGAAGCCTTCAACATCACCATCTGGGCAGGGGAAACCGAAAGATAAAGACTCTCATTTAAATTACCTATTCCCAGTGAAACGGGATTTCAGCTGGCTTCCACTACATACTTATTCAATAAGAAAATTCTGTGTACATGGCACTTACTTTTTAATACTGACAATTTTTGCCTCCAGCCTACTTACAACATTCTGTTCCCCTCATCTCTCTTTCTGTATTATACAAAGTGCAAAACCTCTTTTTGTCCTCTCTTCCTATCTAAGTCGGCTTGGGCTGCTATGACAAGTTGTTATAGACTGTGTGGCATAAACAACAACATTTATTTTTCACTGTTTTGGAGGCTGGGAAGCCCAAGATCAAGGTGTCTGCAGATCCATCCTCTGTTGAGGGCTTGTTTCCTGGTTTGCAGGTGGCTGTTATCTGGTTGCATTCTCACATGGCAGAGAACAGAGAGCAAAAGCAAGGTCTTGTGCTACTTCTCATAAGGGCACTGATCAGACTCATGAGGGTTCCACCCTTATGACCTGATTACCTTCCAAAAGCCCACCTCAGAATATCACATTGGGGATTCAGCTGCAACATATGAATTTTAGGGGGAAATAAACTTTTAATCCCTAGCACCTTCTATATTTCCATGTACTTCCAAATCATTTCCCATCACTGAACTAATCTTCTCTCTCTGTACCATGCTTCCTGAGGGTTCCCTTTAACCTCATGCTTCCTGAATGTTCCCTGTCCCTTCACCTTACTTTCTCTGGCTCCTACTCCTCACCACAGGTTCCAACAGAAACCACCTTTCTGAGTTTTATGCAGTTATTAAGCTTGAATTGTTAGGATAGAAATTTACTTGCTTTCCTTTTTTATGAATTTACCAGTACTCTTCGCATGCACTGTCTATATTGTCTTACTCATCTGTGTGGACCCAGACCCAACACAGTTTATGAGGCTTTCCGTGTGGTGAATGCTCAGGAGATGTTTGTTAGGAAGATGTGGTTGTGTTTGGGAAATTGTTCTGCTGACTCACAAAGTCAGTCCTGTCTGATCTGTTGGCTCCACGTGTACTTTTTTTTTTTTTTTTTTTTTTTTTTTTTTGAGGCAGAACCTCACTCTGTCACCCAGGCTGGTGTGCAGTGGCATGATCATGGCTCACTGCATTGCAGCCTCAACCTCCCAGGCTCAGGTGGTCCTCCCACCTCAGCCTCCCAAGTATCTGGGACAGCAAGCACATGCCACCACACCCAGCTAACTTTTTTTAAAATTTTTTTGTAGAGAATGGGTCCCACTGTGTTGTCCAGGCTGGGCTTGAACTCTTGGGCCACATGTATTTCAGTCATGAGCTATCCACGAAATACCTCCCATGTTTGTTTCTTCTTGTCCTTCCCTTTTTTACTCCCAACACTTCAAGTTCACTCCATATTATTTCTCTTCTGGACCACTGCACAAATGTTCTCTGAATGGTAATCCTGTTTCTCTTATTATGTATATATTAAGTGGAAACTTCCCATTTCTTAGCTCTGATTTTTTTTTGCTCCCCTGGTCAAAAACCTTCAGTGTTTTTGGCCAACTCAATAAAATCAAATCTTTAGAAGTTTGATTTGATAAAGGCTTGGTCTGATAAAACCTATCGAGGGTAGGGTTGATAAAAACATATATCTGGCTTTCCAAAGTACTATCCAGGCTTATCTCCATCACACCACACTCTCTTATCAGAGTCATTCTGGACTAGTGTGGAATTTCATTTTCTGTCTTTGGATATTTCAGCTGTTTAATGTGTGTTGTACTTATTTTCTTTTTGTACCTTAAAATGGCCTCATATCTATTTATTGATAACTCACCCGTTCTGAAAGATCTTAGTCATCACTACTAGGTCCCACAGCCTGCATAAGACCTGCTGCGATTTCCTCCAACCAGACATCTCTTTCTCCACCAGCTCCATTGCTTTTTTTCATGCCATTCTTGTGTTTTCTTTTATTATAGGTACTTGTGGTTCCTCTAAATATATGTATTTAAATATATATTAAAAGAAGTCTCAAATATATATATACATATATGTATTTATATATATCTAGCATAATCATTTATATACACACAGATACATCAGCCACATATAAGTATGTATATATTTGTTGTTCTTTTTATTATTTATGTTTGATCACTGAACTATAAATCTTTTAGACTAGAGACCATACCTTATTGCCTTTTGTTTCTTGCATTATATGCTTTAAATAGGTTTCTTGAACTTAAAATTTCACAGACCAATTTAGCCATTTCTTACAAAATTCCCAGTAATTGGACTTTACAGCTTTACAACATTTAATAGAAGCAAACTAAAGCCAAGTCTTCATGGCTAAATGTATAGAAACATAAAATCATTTATAGAATATAAAATCAAAAAATATAGAATCATTTTTTGATTTAGAACTTTCTAAATTTAGAACTTTCTAAATTTAAAACAAAGAATGATTCTCACCTATGTATTTTAAGTAATACTCCTAGATATAGAATACTATTTCAGTGAGCTATCCTCGACTAACTAATATTTTAGTGTAGAAAATAATTTTGAATTTTTGGGGCGTATTCAAAATTTTCTAAGATACACTATTCCATACGGCACCTTTATTGCTGAAAGATGATATTTACAGAGCCCATAAATGCTGGGCCTGGGAATTTCTCTCCAGTTTTTAAAAACTTGTTCCTTTTCAAGGTTTAACAAAAAACGAATTGCATTTTGACCTGAGTAAAGCCATATGGTGTTTATGTTTTTATTGTGTACAATTAATTTTTAAGATTTTTTTTTAAAGAAAAACAATTTACATAAATGAATTTTTCATTCTCACCACACTCATTTATTACAAGCAAGAATTTTGCAGGCCAAAATGAATCAAAGAATGGGAAGCATTTCTCAAGATAATAGGATTGGAGAAGGACTTTTACACTGTAAGGCCAGAGAGAAAGACAGATAGACAGAGAGAGGCTATTTTTCTATTGACACCCGATCAATTTTTCTCTAAAATTTATTGTGTAAAATTGTACTAACAGATCCCATTTTGATTTCTATATATTAACTGTTTTGTTCATTTTAGGTGATTTCTTTGAATAAAATAAAACCAAAATAGATAAAAATCAAGGGACTCTAGTAGCTGATCTAATATTGTTCTCCTAAATTCCTTGATGTAGCTGCGTCTGACCCAACATCAACAACAGGAGAGGTGTTGAGTGGGGATGGGTAATAAATATAAAAATATAGTTGGAATGAATAAGATCTAGTATTTGATAGTGCAACAGGGTGACTACATCAACAATAATTTATTATACATTTAAAAATAACTAAAGGAGCTCAAGCCTGTAATCCCAGCACTTTGGGAGGCTGAGGCAAGTGGATCACTTAAGCCCAGGAGTTCGAGACCAGCCTGGGTAACATGGTGAAACCCCATCTCTACAAAAAATAAAAAATAAACTAAAGTATAATTTGAATGTTTGTAACACAAAGAAATGATAAATGCTTTACGTGATGGGTACCATATTTACCCTGATGTGATTGTTACACATTATGCGCCTGTATCAAAATATCTAATATACCTCATAAATATATACACCTACTATGTACCCATAAAAATTTAAAATTAAAGCAAACGACACTATCATTTCACAGAGAATATCCTGAGATGTGCTTTTGAAATCTTTGAAGTTCTAGTCTTTCACTCTTACTCTTACAAGGAAAATTCTGGCAATTAACAAAGTGTTCCATAGATTTTAGAATAAGAAAAGCTATTAAATCTTCCTGAGTGATTATTTCTCATAGCTTAAAATACAAGTCAGTGTGTGATTAGTTCCTATCACACAAACAATTGCTCAAGCGTACCCTGAATATTTGAAAGGGCCCAAGAAAAGAAGATGGTACAACTTACCTTGATAGTTATATTCTTTAATTAAAACTAATTAAAGGATTTTAGAAATAGTCTTATATTCTTTTGTTTGGAAGACCAGAATATACCCTTGGCATACTTGGTACTATGGTTTCTCCTGGATCAGAAAACAAGGGACTGTTCTTTCTTCTCATTACTTAATATCTATTATTGTTTGCCTTTCACGGCATCCCATCTTATTTTGAGCACAAACAAGCAAAAAAACTAAAGAACACAAAAACCCCAGAACAATCCTCTTTACAAGGAACAATCTTCTATATACTTTACTGAACTGTAAAGATGCAATTATCATGTAAAAATGCCAGTATTACATTATCAGACTCTGAATTGCCAGACTAAAAATCTGAATTAAAATGCAACTACAGAGCAAGACTAAAATTGATATTAAGCATATACAAAGTTATTACATGTTTATATCACATTTAATCCCATGTTCAAGAACATTTTTATTGCAGAATGAGGTTTAGTGAATGTTGCCTTGATTTTTAATCGCTTTTTATTCAAATGCTGTTATTGGAAAATGATTGCAAAGATAATTTATTTAGATATGTAAAATTCTGGGATATTTTCTATTAATGGATATTTTAACTGGTGATAGATTAGGGACCCTGGGGATAAGTATTACGGCTTACCTTTGCCCTTAGACTTTGTGATCTGAGGTCTCACATTCCTCAGCTGCGTGTATGAACATCTGTCAATCTATTCTATTTTTTCTAGGAATGTATAAGAAAAAGAATTCAACCAGGGATGTGACTTTCTGATAATCCATGATGCCCTTCTCTTCTCCTAAGCACTATCAATAAACATATCACACCTATTATGTGTTGAATAGCAGGGACTTGTCAGATGTCACTAGCGGTTAAACTCCATTCTCATGATTTTAGAAAAGCTGAGAACTATGATATCACTTATAATGATCTTTCCTGAGTACGGCTTCATGGCTGGTAACAGATTCATGTCCTAAGACAGGCACAGTTCCACATGGAAAAGCTTAATAACCAGAGCTGTGAATGAACTTTATACCAACTGAGGGCAGTTCTACCTTGCAAATTAGGAATCAAAAAGTCTCACTAGCCCAGATATTAGGTAAATATGGTAAGTCCCAAATTGAGGAAACATTTTCCCCAAAGTCTGTGACGTTGGGGATGTTTATTATGTAGCTTTGAATTACTGTAATATATTGTTCAACACCCCCCCAAGCAAATACATAATTATTTATATGGGTTTTATTTATATTTGAATTTTGCTGCATTTTGGCTACTAAACTTATAAGTAATGGGAGTTTGTATTTTCCCACTACTAAAGAGTTGGATAGTAACTATATTTGTCCATTCTCACCCTGCTAATAAAGACATGCCCAAGACTGGGTAATTTATAAAGAAAAACAGTTTTAATTGACTCACAGTTCAGCACGGCTGGGGAGACTTCAGAAAACTTACAATCATGGTGGAAGGGAAAGCAAACATGTCCTTCTTCACATGGTGGCAGCAAGGAGAAGTGCTGAGGAAAAGGGGAAAATCCCCTTGTAAAACCATCAGATCTCATGAGAACTCACTCACTATCATGAGAAAAGCATGAGGGAAACTGACTGCATAATTCAATTACCTCCTACTGGGTTCCTCCCATGACATGTGGGGATTATGGGAACTATAATTCAAGTTGAGATTTGGGTGGGGACACAGACAAACCATATCATTCCACCCCTGGCCCCTCCCACATCTCATGTCCTCACATTTCAAAACACAATCATGCCCTTCCAAAAGTCCACCAAAGTCTTAACTCCTTTCAGCATTAACTGAAAAGTCCAAGCCCAATGTCTTATCTGAGACAAAGCAAGTCCCTTTTGCCTATGAGCCTGTGAAATCAAAAGCAAGTTAGTTACTTCCTAGATACAATGCAGGTGCAGGCATTGGGCAAATACACCCATTCCAAATGGGAGAAATTGGACAAAACAAAGGGGCCATAGGCCCTGTGCAAGTCTGAAATAATATAGGGCAGTCATTAAACCTTTAAGTTCCAAAATGATCTCCTTTGACATCATGTCTCACATCCAGGTCATGCTGATGCAAGAGGTAAACTCTCATGGCCTTCGGCAGCTCCAGCTCCATGGCTTTGCAAGGTTCAGCGCTGCCCCCCACCCCGCCAGCTGCTTTCACAACTGGCATTGAGTGTCTGTGGTTTTTCCAGGTGCATCAGTGCAGGCTGTTGGTGGATATACCTATCTGGGGGGCTGGAGGACAGTGGCCCTATTCTCATAGCTCCACTATGCAGTGCCCCAGTAAGCACTCTGTGTGGAAGTTCCAACCCCACATTTCCCTTTCACACTGCCCTAGCAGAGGTTCTCCATGAGGGCTTTGCCCCTGTAGCAGACCTCTGCCTGGACATCCAGGCCTTTCCATACATCCTGTGAAATCTAGACAGAGGTTTCCAAACCTCAGTTCTTGACTTCTGTGTACCTGCAGGCCCGACACCACATGTAAGCCACCAAGCCCTGGGGCTTGCACCGTCTGAAGCATTGGCCTGAGCTGTACATTGGCCCCTTTTAGCCATGGCTGGAGCTGAAGCAGCTGGGATGCAGGGCACCATGTCTGGAGGCTGCACAGAGTAGGGGGGCCCTGGGCCCCACCCATACAACCATTTTTTTCCCTCCTAAGCCTCCAGGCCTATGATGGGAGGGGCTGCAGTGAAGGTCTCTGACATGCCATGGAGACATTTTCCCCATGGTCTTGGTGATTAATATTTGGCTCCCCTTTACTTATGCAAATTTCTGTAGCCAGCTTGATTTTCTCCTGAGAAATGGGGTTTTCTTTTCCATCTCATCATCAGGCTGCTAACTTTCCAAACTTTTATGCTCTGCTGCTTCTTGAACATTTTGTTGCTTAGAAATTGCTTCTGCCAGATACCCTAAATCATCTCTCTCAAGTTAAAAGTTCCACAGATCTCTAGGGCAAGGGCAAAATGCTGCCAGGCTCTTTACATAGCAAGAGTGATCTTTACTCCAGTCCCCAACAAGTTCCTCATCTCTACTGGAGACTACCTCAATCTGGACTTCATTGTCCATATCACTATCAGCATTTTGGTCAAAGTCATTCAACAAGTATTTAGGAAGTTCTAAAGTTTCCCACGTTTTCCTGTCTTCTGAGCTCTCCAAATTGTTCCATCCTCTGCCTGTTACCCAGTTCCAAAGATGCTTCTGCATTTTCAGGTACTCTTATAGCAGCACTCCACTCTACTGGTGCCAGTTTATTATATTTACTGTATCAGTCCATTCTCAGGCTGCTAATAAAGACACACCTGAGACTGGGTAATTTATAAAAGAAATAGGTCTAATCGACCCACAGTTCAGCATGGCTGTGGAGACCTCAGAAAACTTACAATCATTGAGGAAACTTACAATCATTGGGGGGTGTGTGTATGTGTGTGTGTGTATATATATATATAATATTATATATATATATACACACACATACACACACATATACACACACATATATATACACATACACACACACACACACACACATATATATATATATACACATATATACACCTCACGTGTCTTTCTTCACAGGGTGGCACAACGGAGAGGTATAAACAAAATGGGGGGAAAGCCCCTTATAATACCATCAGATCTTGTGAGAACTCAGTGTCAGGAGAGCAGCATGAGGGTAACTGCCCCCATGATTCAGTTACCTCCCACTGAGTCATTCCCATGACATGTGGGAATTATGGGAACTACAAGATGCGATTTTGTTGGGGACACAGCCAAACCATATCAGTAGCTCAAATTAATAGAAATATGACTGCTGAAAAACTAGGCTGGGTCTCATACAACAGGCACCTCATGCAATCTTTGCTCTTTCGATTCTTTAAAATCTCAGTACTACTAGAGAAAGTTTTAAAATAGTTTCTATAGAATCTACCTTTCTTGAGACAGTTCAACAATTAGCTTCAGTTCCAAATTTTATACCATGAAGATAAGCTAATAACCAAAAACAAACAACCCATAAATAAAAGTTGTGCTCCTTCTCACTACCATTCTATATCACCTTCTTCCACAAACAATGCTGCTTTATTTTTCACTCTGACCCTGGGCTGCTTCTCCGACCATTTTACTGTTTCCAACCCTCTTTCAGTTCATCCTTAGGTGTTAATTAAAATGGCAGGTGTTAAATTGATCATTAGCATGTTTCAGCTACTGTTCTGAGCACAGAATTCCCTCCAGTGATTCTTTGTTTCTCCCAACATAATCCCTCTTTCTCCAGACATTTTCTCTTCTTCTTTTCCCTGTAGTTTTAACTGCTTCTTACAGAGAAAGCAGATAACCTGGCATGTCTGCCCCAGCTGTTCTTCATTTATTTCTCAGGCTTATTCCCTCTGAGTAAATAATACAATCAGATATTTTTCTTTTAGTAACAGACCAACATCCTATTTATTTTAAGTATTTTGGGGAAAAACAAAACAGAACAAACCTTTGTTAAGTGTATCTCATACACTCCTCATTCAAACTTCATAATATCCAAGTAGACAGCAGACCCATGATATATCTACTTAAATTTTTTAAAATGTAATTACTTTATTATTGTGGTAAGAACACTTAACTTGAGGCCTGCACTCTTAACAAATTTTTAAGTGCACGATAAATTATTGTTAAGTACAGGCACGGAGTTGTATAACAGATCCATAGAACTTATTCATTCTGCGTATTTGAAACTTTATACCAGTTGAACAGCAACCCCGCCTTTTCCCCTCCCTCTAGCCCCTAGGAGCCAGCATTCTGTTCTCTGTTTCTATGAGTTTGACTATTTTAAGTAACTCATATAAGTAAAATCATGTTGTTTTGTCCTTCTGTGCCTGGTTTAGTTCATTTAACATAATGTCTTCCAGTTCATCCATGTTGTAGAATGTGGCAGGATTTCCTTTTCTTAAGGCCGAATAATATTCCATTGTGATTGTATGTGTATGTATGCATGTGTGTGTGTGTGTGTGTGTGTGTGTGTGTGTATATTCTATATATATATATACTGTAATGCTGTATATATATATATATTTGAACATGGGAGTGCAAATATCTCTTCAATATACTGGTTTCATCTCCTTTGGATATATACATATCCCCAAAATGGGGTTACTGGGCAACATGATAGTTCTATTTTTCTTTTTTTTTTTTTTTGAGGGAATGCTACACTGTTTTCTCTCTCCACACTCATGCACTAGATGCTGCCAACCCACTTTCCACCTGTACTGTGTAAGGAGAAGTTGGTTTCAGTCTAGACAGAGAAGTTGGTTCCAATCTAGACAGAGCCAGTGTTATTATGGTTTGTCTGGCCACTGAAGGAGAGAGGTGAATGGAGGTAGGAAATGGAAGGTCCTCTTCCTGCAGCTGATACAGTAGATGGCTAAGGCATTAAGTGTTTAACTATTCCCGTACTTCGAAGGACAAAATATTGTTCATGCTTGAACGATATTTCTGATGTAGAGAGGAGCCCTAGGATGTAGAAAGGGCTCCACAGTGCTCCTCTAACATCCTCTTGTGAGTTGGGAGTAAGTGCAAGGTCCCAGTCCTTAGGACCAAGACAGAAATCTGAGGAGAATAGCAATAGAAAGAGCATCTCCCCTCCCATCAAATTTATTCATTAAACAAGCACATGTATGAGACCTATTAGTTAAGTAGTCCCATAGGCTATTTGCAGAGTGAAAGCAAGCTAAACGTACTACTAAAAGATGGATTCTTTCTTTCTGGACAGTCAGGGTAACTTGGATTATTTGAAATAAGCAAGAAGTTTAGGCAATCCTTTCAGGATGGAAAAAGCCTTCTGTCTATATCAAATGAGTTAGATTTAGGTAGCAATTTCACTGTTAACTAATGTACTCCATTCTTTAACAAACGTTAATTGAACATGTCTTTCTGATGAGATACAGAGTTAGGAGTCCTGTCCTTGGAGCATCTACTGTCTTGCAGGCTGAGTAAATAATGTGGGGAAATATTGCAGATGCTGTGAAAGAAGGTATGGAGGGGACACAAAGGAGGAAGGAGTCACATTTAATAACAATAATTAACATATAAGGAATTATCATTTATGCATATTATATCATGAAGCTGATGTTCTTTTCATTCATATTAACAGAATAGAAAATTGAGATGCAGAGAGTATAGAAAACTTAAAGGAGTGCCACACAGCTTACTATCACTGTGAATAAACCAAGACTATTGGGCCCTAGAGCTGAGTTTATTCTTCAGTATTAGACTTTAGTACTGATCGTGTGTATATGTGCAAGTCTTCTTGATGAGATAATTCTTTTCCCCAGAAAAAATAGGTGACAAGGGCAATCCAGGAAGAGAAAACTGCATGAGAAATACACAAGAGAGTCAAATAACTTTTTTGCAAGCAGTTATATATCAATTAAGTGGAGAGTTCCAGGTAGATGGAAAGGCACAGCAAGAAAATATAGCCAAGGGCTAGTTCATGATTGTAAACAGTATATCATGGTACTAAAATTAGATTTTAACCTGTAGGTAATATAGATACCTTGAATGAATCTAAGTAGGACAGAGCTTAATCCATTTTCTGTCATGCAAGGATGAATTGCAGGGAGTTGAAAATGGCAGCAGACAAATCAATAAGCACATTCTTGAATTAAGCCAGACTGTGAGGAGAGGCACTGAATTAAGCTAGGAATAGTGGAGAGAAAGAGTGAAGACGGATAGAATGTGTTAAAAGAATTAGAGTTTATGACTTAGACAATTCATGACAAATCAGGTATGGGAGTAGAAAAAAGACAGGGGTTTAAAATTATTGAGTGGATGGCAGTGGTATTTACTCATTCATACATTCAGTGACATAACAAGTATTTTTCAAATGTTTTCAGGTGACAGACACTGTACAAAGTGTTGGGATATGACACTGAACAGCCAAATAAATCTCTGCCTTTAGGAGCTTACATCCTAGAGAAGTGAATAGCATATAGTAAATAACTAGATGACAGTGACAAGTGCAATTAAACAACTGAATGGGCTGATAAGAAAGTAAAGGGGATGTTATTTTAGTTGAGAAGGCAGGGATGAAGAAGGCCTATTTTGGAAAGGGATATTAGATTTGAAAAATGGGTAATAAGAACTCAGCCCTGTGAAGAGGCAGTGGAAGGGAATTGAAACAAAGGAAAGAGCAAAGACAAAAGCTTTGACGTGGGACAGATGTCTTGGTACAGAAATATAATTTATTTGAGAATGTTAAAGTGTAGAAGAGAAAAGAAGGTAGAACATGATGAAGCTAGGTATGTATACAGGATCCAGATCATGGAGTCATGTAGCCAAAAATAAGTTTGGATTTTACTCTAATGACAATGAGAAAACTTTGGAGGTTTTTAAGCTGGGTAGTGACATGTTCCAATTTAAGAGAGCAGAGGAAAAGGAGATGCTAAGTTCTTGTCATGTTAACTTAGATTAGTCACTAAGACATTCAGGAAGATATGCTTAATAGACAGTGGGGATTATGAGCCTGGGACAAGGGAGATTGGCCTGGACTATGGTATCAAATTTGTGAGTGATCACATAGATGCCAAAGAACCATGGGTAGAATGAGAACAGAGCCAATAATGTGTCCTGGGGACATTGACATTTTGAGTGGATAGAGGGAGAGGTTATCTTGGGGAAGAAGGCTGGCTCACTACACAGCACTTGATCCAGATTAGACAGATAAGTCAAATGGGATTAATCAGAATTCTGTTCTAAGGTTTATATATTAAATTTTGTTGTCTTCATTGATTTTATCATGTTAGAAAAATGTAAGGCTTAAGCTGATGGCAGCTACAGTGTCTACATTTTAATCACAACTTGCATGTCTAATAAAACCATGCAGACATAAACAGAACTAAGAGATTGAGAAAAAGAACCCCAATGAAATTGTTTGACTATGAGTTCCAGAAAAACTAAAGAAGACCTAAATAAATGAAGACATATTTTGTATTTATATTTGAAAATGTCGGTATTAAGAAGTCCACTCTCTCCAAATTGATCTACAGATTCAATTAAACTGCAATCAAATTCCCACCAGACTTTTAAAAAGTATATAGATTAGCATGTTGATTCTAAAATAAAAAGGACCTGGAATAACTAAGTCAACTGGAAAAGAAGAGTAAAGTTGGAGAACCATTACAACTTAATTTCAAGAGTTATAATAAAGTTACAGTGGTCAAACAGTTTAGTATTGGCATAGAAACACACACATACATAGAAAGACAAAGAGCATCACACATATAGATTCTCAACAAAGGTGTAAAAGTGAGGCAGGAGACTGGCAGGACTTGTTTTCTGGTCATAACCCTGCCGACCAAAGGAAGATCTGGTCCAGATGAGATAAGGTGAAGAAAATGGCCAAAACCAGCAGATTAGGTAATGAGGGGGATCCCTGGCTACCCCCATTGATCATTAGCATGGGACACTCCCACCAGCAACATGGCAGTTTACAGATGTCATGGCAATGACCTGAAAGTTAAAACCATTCTCAATGGCAATAACCTGGAAATTGCTCCCACTTTCCTAGAAAGTTCTAAATGAATTTCCCCTCAATTTGCATTAATCTGCCCCTTAATTTACATGTAATTGAAAGTATGTATAAGTGAGCATAAAGACAGTTGTTAAGAGCCCACATGTTGCTGACTCTGGGCACACTGTTTATGTGTTAACTCTGCTCCACAAGTTTCAGTACTGTTAAATAAAAGATTCCTGTCCAACACTACGGCTCACCCTTGAATTCTTTCCTGGGTGAAACAATCTTTCCAGGCTAAGCCCCAATTTGGGGGTTGCTTGTCCTGAATCAAAAGTATTAAATGGAGAAAAGACAGTCTTTTCAAAATCCATGATAGAATCATGGGATAGCAGTATGCAGAAAAATGAACTTTGGTCTATACCTTGAACTATATGGTTCACAGAGCTAAAGTTAAAACCTAAAACTTGACTACAATTATAAAATTTCCAGAAGGCTCAGAGAAAACTCTTTTTGACTATAAGTTAGGCAAAATTTTCTTTTTTTAATAATTTCAACTTTTACTTTAGATTCAGGGAATACATGTACAGGTTTGTTACATGTTTTGCATGATGCTGGGGTTTGGGATATGGATAATCCTGTCACCCACATAGTGGGTATAGTACTCTATAGGTAGTTTTTCAGCTCATGCCCCCACCCCTCTCTCTCAAGAGTAATGAGAAGGGGTATCCTTGTCTTGTTCCAGTTCCCAAGAGGAATGGCTTCAGTTTTTGCCCATTTGGTGTGATGTTGACTGTGTTTGTCATAGATGGCTCTTAATATTTTGAGGTATATTCCTTTGATGCCTAGTTTCTTGAGGATTTTTATCAGGAAGCAATGTTAGATTTTATCAAAAGCATTTACTACATCTATTGAGATTAATCATATAGTTTTTGCTTTTCATTCTGTTTATATGGTGAATCACATTTAGTCATTTGCATATGTTGAATCAGAGTTACAACGCAGGAATAAAACCTACTTGATCATGGTGTGTTAACTTTTTGATGCTCTACTAGATTCAGTTTGCTAGTATTTTGTTGATGATTTTCGCATCTGTGTTCATCAGGGATATTGACCTGAAATCTTCTTTTTTGTGTGTGTCTCTGCCAGATTTTGCTATTATGTGGACCCTGGCTTTGTACAATGAGCTAAGGAGGAGCCCGTCCTCCTTAATTTTTTGGAATAGTTTCAGTAGGATTGGTACCAGTTCTTCTTTGTACATCTGGTAGAATCTGGCTGTCAATGCAACTGGTCCAGGGCTTTTTTTTTTTTTTTTTTTTTTTTTCTTTAGGTGATAGGTTTTTATTACGAATTAGTTTTTACAAGTGTTATCTATTTTCTGTAGATTTTCTAGTTTGTATGCATACAAGTGTTTGTAATAGTCTCTGAGGACCTTTTGTATTTCTATAGGATTGATTGTAAAGTCATCTTTGTCATTTCTGATTGTATTTATTTGGATATTCTTTTTTTCTTTGTTAGTCTAGCAAGTTGTCCATCAGCCTTGTTTATTCTTTTGAAGAGCAAATTCTTGGTTTCACTGATAAGTTGTATAAATTTTTGCATCTCAATTTCTTTTAATTTGTCTCTGATTTTAGCTATTTCTTTTTTTCTTCTGCTAGCTTTCGGTTTGGTTTGTTCTTTTTTTCCCATGTTCCTCTAGATGAAATGTTATTTGAAATCTTTCTAAGTTCTTCATGAAGGTATTTGTACTACAAACATTCCCTCTAACACTACTTTAGGTGTATCCAAAATATTTTGGTAAGTTGTGTCTCTATTTTCATTAATTTCAAAAAATTTTGGATTTTGCTTGAATTTCCTTCTTGATCCAAGAGTTATTCAGGAGCAGATTGTTTAATTTTAATATATTTGTGTAGTTTTGAGAGATCTTGATATTTGCTTCTATTTTTATTGTATTGTGATCCAAGAGTTTGCTTAGTTTTTTTATTTTGTTTTTTTTCTAATGTATTGAGACTTGCTTTATGACATAGCATGAGGTCAAGCTTAGAATATGTTCCTTGTGCAGATGAGAATAATGTATATTCTGTGGTGGCTGGGTGAAGTATTCTGTAGATATCCACTAGGTCCAATTTTACAATCCATCAAAATGTTAATCTCCATAAAAATAAGAAATCCTGCTTTGTTATAAAAAGACAAGTCAAAAATAAGGAGAAAAAATATTTGCAGACCATGTATCTTATAAAGATTTTTTTATCCAGTCTTCACAAATGGTTCTTAAAGCTCAACCAGATGAAGCTCTTTTTAAAGATTTGAGCAGACATTCTACTCATTACAAATCAGTGTTTATTACTAGTCATCAAGAAAATGCAATTGAAAACAAATATAAGATGCTACTATATAAAAAATTAGATTGGCTAAAATTAAAAAGACTAATGATAGTATTATTGATGAGGATATGGGGCAATTTGAACCTTCATTCATTCATAATGGGAACAAAAAATGGTATAGCCACTATGGGAAATAGTTGGTAGTTTCCTAAAGTATTTAAATATTTATCTACCAAATAAATCCGTCAGTTAGCTCCTAAGCATTTACCCAAGAGAAGAAAAAGCATATGTTCATAAAAAGACTTGTATAAACAGTAGCTTTATTTGTAATAGCTCCAAACTGAGAAGAACCTAAAGATCCATCAAGAGGTAAAAGGACAAACAAATTATATCGACTTGGAAATAAAATGAATTAAATTATTGCTATAGATAACCTGGATAAATCTTAACATAGTTATTATGATTTTTAAGAAACCAGACAAAAAAGAATACATATTATGTGATACTAAATATAGAAAATGGAAACTAATCTATCATTCCAGAAAGCAGATGAGTGGTTACCTGAGCCCAAAGAAGAGAGGACAAGGGGAAGGAAGGGAAGAGAAGGATTAAAGAAAGACACGAATAAGCTTTTGGGAGGTAATGGATATTATTTTGATTATCGTTCAGGTTTCATAGGTGTATTAGTCTGTTTTCATGATGCTAATAAAGACATACCCGAGACTGGGTAATTTATAGAAGAAAGAGGTTTAATGGACTCACAGTTTCACGGGGCTGGGGAGGCCTCACAATCATGGTGGAAGGTGAAAGGCACGTCTTACATGATGGCAGACAAGAGAGAATGCGAGTCAAGTGAATGGGGTTTCCCCTTACAAAACTGTCAGATCACATGAGACTTATTCACTACCATGAGAGAGAACAGTATGGGGGAAACCATCCACATGATTCAATGCTCTCGCATCAGGTTCCTCCCATAACATGTGAGAATTATGGGAGCTACAATTCAAGATGAGATTTTGGTGGGGACACAGCCAAACCATATGAATAGGTATATACATATGTCAAAGCTTATCAAGATAGACACCTATATGCAGTTGATGATATGTCAATTATCCTTCAATAAACCCATACTAATTGTAATAATGTATTAATAAGGAATATTGTGTTTTAATAATATTAATAGAGCAGGCCATAAATCCTAACAAGTTAATGAATTACACACACTTTTTCAAGACAAGGTTTAAATTATATGTAATTTTAGGGGGAGATATCAGAGTATAAAAAATCACCTAAAAAGCAGCAATCTTGTCATATAGTTGAACCAACAATCAATTGCTTGATAAATCTATAACCTCAGGTATTATGAAAATGTTTTCTTTTTCTTAAGGTCTAGTAATATTCTGAAACTCTAGTATGGTATCAAAATAATATTTTTGAAACCCAATCATAGAAGATAAAACCCCAAAGACATCCTCCCCCACCTACTTATAATACAGAAAGGCAGGAAGGAAAAGAGTCAAGATGATAATGGTTGAAGTGTATCCTCAAAGTGTATTCTCATCAGTTCAAGATCACCTGGTCCCCAGTTTTTCCCATGCTGGTGGAGAGCAGATAGGAAAGAAGTGACTATAAGGAGGTGGACACAGCAAAGCTGGTCTTCATTTTCTCACCAGCTGCTCTACGTAATTATTACCAAAGAGAGGAAGGTGAATGGGGTTATGTTGAGGAATATGTGTCATATTGGGCCAAATTTAACATCTCACATATTATGGTACTCACCTGCAAGTCTCTTGCTAACTTCAGGAAAGCTGCTTTAATTTTTCCTTGAAATGAAGTACCATTCAAATCAACTATGTTGGTTATCTAAAACAATTACGCATCTTTTTAAGAATAGTTTCACTGGAAAATGGTAAAAAGGAGAATGCAAAGAGTGCATACAACCATTTTGACCACAAAAGAACAACTAGAATTTCATTACTTGTAGACTGCACAAATTGAGAGGAGTGAAAGGAATTATGTGGACTCATGTAATGACAAGATGGAAATAAACTCAGGTGGAAACAAAGAGACCAAGAGCAGAAGGAAATTTCAAGAGACTTCCAACAAGTCCCATAAGAAGTTAGGATATTAGTAGGGAAATAAGGAGACCGAAAGAATACAATGTTGTCTTTAGAGAACGGGATATTGAAGTTTAGGATTTCAAAGACGAAGAGGTTTTTAGGGCAAAGTTGTCTGGAGAGTGGTTATGGGAATATGGTGCTAAAAAAAGATAATAATGATAATGTTTATATTGCACTGTTCAGAGCATGACTCCAATGTATTCACATACATCAACCCATCTAACCCTTCCAACAACCTTAGAAAGTAAGTACTATTATTTTCTCTATCTTATCGATTAGCAGTAGATTTGCATACTTGACTGTTTTTTCTGAAGTTTTGAAAATCAGTTTCCATTTGATGATACTCTGTGTGAGGACACGAGGAGAGTTTGGAAAGATGGAAATCTCAACTTTGTCCAAATCAACTTGTTCTCCAGTCTAGTTAAACTTCCTCAGTCCAGAAAAATCTTACCACACTCAGTTCTATCCCATTTTTTGGGAAGAAGCCATGAAGAAGAAATTTAAAAATGAAAAGTTGGATACATCTTTATCCTACTTCAATCATCTTTTCACTTTGACATTAGTGGCCATAGATTTTATGCCCTTCTTGAAAGTTGTTGTTTGCTGTAATATGCTTGCCCTTCTGTTATGGCTATATTGTGCTGGGTATCATGGAAAACTTGAGGCTCTGTCCTTGAAACAATTAAATATTCTGTTGGTAGCAGATAGGGCAGGATGAGTGCATGAAATATCCAGGGAAAATTCACAAACAATGCATAGCCTTGTTGCTGCAGTTCCCTGACCAGCTTTTCCAACTACAAACTCTATTTTCTTACATAGAATAGCAATTTTGTCAATACACTCATTTTAGAATGCTAGAAAATCTAATCTTTCAGAATCTCTTGCTAAGCTTTCAATTTTTGCCCTTAAATGGTAATCTAACATTGCAGCTATACCAATAACAATACTTTGCATCATTTTAGAATAATCTCTTTCTGGTTCCAATTTACCTTCCCAGTCTGGCCTTCATTCTTCTGCTGTAGAAACCAAAAATGGTATAGTTTTTTGTACCTGAAATTTCCAGCCTTTATATCTTAAACACTCTGAGCTGCATCTCATTCAAATCTTACCCATCCTTTACTGCTCAAATACCACAACCTCCTTAACTCTTTGCTGCTTATACCATCTGGAAGTGACCACTTCTCCGAATTTGGTCATTTATTTGTTCAAACAACATTTATTAAGTTATGTCACATAGATTATATTAGAGATAAGCACAAATTACTATGGGAAATCTGAAAAATGTTTCTCTTAGAACTTGATGTGGGATAAAGCAGAGAGTGGATGAAGATAAGACTAGAAATGTAGAAATAAACAATATCATAAAGGGTCTTACGCTCTCTGCTAAGGAATTTAGATTTTTATCTTGTGTACTGTTGCTGTAAACATTTGTATTTTCAAAGGGACTATGCTGTCTCATATTAAAATTACTGGAGTTTATACCTTATTTTCCTCCTGAATTATAAGGTCCTTAAGGACAGAGACTGGGTCTTTATTCATCATTCCATGTCCTACTTGACTTTCAAAGTCCACCTAGGTCATGCATTTTGTCAAATGGAGCACTACATCATATATTGAAATCCATAGAGACAATAGAGATCTATCTCCCTTGAGAATCTAACTGAAGCTTTGGAGAGCTAATGGGAACAATGGTTAAGTAAACACTTGAAACTAATACATCCAAATGAATTCACATAGATTCTATGTAAATTTTGCTTAATGTCAAGTCAAGGAAGTCCAGCGAACATGATTGGTACAAGTTGCCTTAGCAATGTGAACTCACCCATGTCACTCATGCATAGGGTTTTCAACAATAATTAGTGTATTAAAATGAGCCCTTAATAAGATAGAGTGTGTTCAACCTAATGTTGCCATGAGAACTTGCCTTTCAAATTTTCATAAATGTAATTTTATCACAGAATCATTTACTGAAAGTTAAATTATTATTTTTCATAATACCTCTTGCATATGGGGAGGGTATTTTTGAATTGTCATATAAACAGAACATCACTTACTCTCACAGTAGCATTATCTAGAACAGAAATTAGAAGATTGATGTTTTCTTTGTGTTTCGAAAATAAAGGGTAAAGAAGTGACTATTAGAGTGGGAAAACCACTGTCCCCATCTGTGCCTGGGACATGCAGTCTAAGCCTGAAGAGTGCATATTAATAATATGAGTCCTGATGGAAAGAGCACTGCAGAAGAAAAAAGTAATGTACAAAGCCCTGTGCTCTTGTCTGCATGGCGGAGAACACGTAGTAGGCTGGGTCAAACATTCACCAAGCACTTCGACTATGAGTCTACTAGATAGGCTCATAACTATAGAGAAGTCTTAACTAGAAACTGATGCTTGGGAAGGCATGAAAGATGAATTCTGGCCATGACTTCAGGATCCAACCTGCAATTGAACATTGTAGTCTGTGATTTCCTTGAGATACAGGAGTTTGGCTTCATACTACTTCCTCTGGGTGTATCTGCATCATTCAAAATGAATTATTCTTTAAAAAGGCATAAAGAAATGCCACTAGGATAATAATTTCACATTTTTTGAAATAACTGATTACTGTGTTCAATATAGGGAAGTTCAAGTTAAAATAAATGTTGCACCTGAAGCCAATTAGAAGCAAGACATGATGATTTTCTTACTATTTAAATGTAATTTTGAAAACCACAAAGGGGATATTTAGATGGCAATAAATGCATCGTAAAGTCTTTTTCCCTGACTACAAAGCAATCTGTTGTGTTAGAAGCAGGACTAGCAAAACAATTGAGATGCTGACAAGAGTAGCAGGCAAAGTAAGGGCTTGTTTAGATCAGAATATCTAAATCAATATTGTGCTTTAATCTAATTAACACATACTTTGATATTGCCAGGTAGGATTTATTAGTACAAAGCATAATAATTCCATCAGTCAAACTTGTAAGTAATGTTAAATTAAGGGCAGGTGAGCCTTGATAGTTACATGTACATTTCTGTGGATTTGCCAAGTGCTCAGAAATTCAACAGTATGATCATATTGAATATTAAAAGAAAAATAATGCCAGTTTGATAAGATACTAAAATAATGCTGTCCTCAAAAACTGACTGGCAAAAGTGGTCTTTATTTTCTAGTATCACTGTGAATTAGGATGAGCTCATTCTTAGCCTACAGATGGGAGTAACCTAGCCAAACCTTGGAAATGGACCACACTTGTCTACCAAGAGATTGTTAGAGGACCCCAAACCTGGCCAGAGAAGATGAACGAGGGCAGGTTCAGAGCCATAACTAAGCAGGGTCAGTGTGAGGGTCTCAGACAATGAAAGAGAGCCCATGGAAAGCTCTTGTTCCAATGGGAGTTTACAGGATGCCAACCAAGTAAGCACAGCCTGTCCTAGTTTGGGTGCTATTTTAAAAAGCTTTGCTTACCTAGCTAGGGCACCAAGATAAGGACTGAATGTATAGATTGGGCCCATCTGGTAAATACGACTCCTTTAATTCTACCTAAAGGGAGTTCTTTTCATGTTAAATTTCATAAAGACACATATGAAAATACTTTAAAGGAACCCAATCCATATTATGTAATATATTTATTTTTATTTGTTTATATTTACATACAGTATTTCCCTAAAACCTTGAGCTTTTTCCAGATAATTTAACATAATATCCAGTTAACTACAGCGCAATTAGGTATCCCCAAGTCAGGAAGAAAGGGCAATAGCTAGCTTCTTGAAGGTTCAAGAAAGACTGGGACCTTTCATATTTACATTTCCTATTCTCAGCTTCAGGAGCTCCATGCTGATGAAAGAGAGATGGGTAATTCTATTTCCAGGACCACTGTTGTTTCTGTTACTAATGATAGTTACACAAATCATCACAATCCTGAAAACAGGGAGAGACTCAACTGCATAACTTCTGTGAGAATGGTTCCTCCTCTAAAAGTAGTGGGATTCATTTTAGAAGTATGACACTTATAAATTGGGGCTTATTATTCTGTTCCAATGAAGCTCAAATGTACTTGACCCTTCCTTCTATGAAAGCCCTTTCCTCTAAAGACACCAGAGCCGCCTGATGGGAGATTCTAATGATCTTTCCTACCTGGGTAAGTTTTCGATGTTGAGCAGTTTAATGCCCACTCTGTCTTTCCTGTCCCTCCATTCCCTAAAGGGAGTACCCTTGCTTGCTGGGCTTGGAACCACTAGTGAGATATTGGTCAATATAATTAATTAGGAAGCATAGAACTTAACTGCATTCTAACTAATCAGTGGGAATGCTCGCTATATATGTATATATATGTATATATGTATATATATACACACACATATTCAGACCCAGAGCGAGATACATACATACACACACACACACACACACGTATATGTGTGTGTGTGTGTGTGTGTGTGTGTGTATGTATATATCTGTGTGTGTGTATATATGTATGTATCTCGCTCTGGGTCTGAATATGTATATTAACATGACGTAGATATATGCTCATAATCAAATCAAATCAAATATTTTATGTCACTAAATATGCATCAAAATGTACTCAAGCTATAAATAATGCCATTTACTTTATTAAAATGATTATTAGATAACAATACCTTATGAATAATAAGATTTTTATCAAGCAATATACTGTGAACTCTTGCTAGAGGCACAAGCATTGAATCCCGATTGACATCTACAAATATGATATGGCTAAATTAGAGGCTCTTGAGAAATGGGGTGCAGGGTTTCATGCATAGCCTTGTTCTTATATCCTCTCCTTTGTCCCATTCAACTCTTTCTTTACAGTTTTTGCTCAGCTTGTTTTGTTTTTCAATATTTTGTTTGCTCAGGGTTGTCCCTGGGTGGAAATGTGAATTTAGCCTTTTTCTTTGGCCCCCTTTTCCCTCCATTCTTACCTTAATCAACTCATCTGGATGACCTTAGTTCTCAGGCTGCCTTCACTGTAAGATCACCCAAGCTTTGTATATTGGAGCTCTGGCTAATGTCCAAGGCAACTGCTAAGCTATTAAAAGTCACCCATTCTAGGCCAGGTGTGGTGGCTCAAGTCTACAATCTCAACATTTTGGGACGTTGAAGCTGGAGGATTGCTTGAGCCTGTGAGTTTGAGACCAGCTTGGATAACACAGTGAGACCCTGTCTCTATTTAAAAAAAAAAAAAAAGAAGGCACGCATTCTAAATCCTATTCCCGCAGGGATCTAAATTCCTCGTGAGAGGTGACAGCATGCTGGCAGCCCTCGCAGCCCTCGCTCGCTCTGGGCGACCACTCTGGCCGCGCTTGAGGAGCCCTTCAGCCCGCCGCTGCACTGTGGGAGCCCAGGCTGAGGCCAGAGCCAGCTCCCTCTGCTTGCGGGGAGGTGTAGAGAGAGAGGCGCCCGCGGGAACCGGGGCTGCATGCGGTGCTCGCGGGCCAGCGTGAGTTCCGGGTGGGCGTGAGCTTGGCGGTCGCACTCAGAGCAGCCAGCCGGTGCCGCGGACGGGGCAGTGAGGGGCTTAGCACCCGGGCCAGCAGCTGTGGAGGGTGCGCCGGGTCCCCCAGCAGTGCCGACACTGCACTCGAACTCTCCCCGGGCCTCAGCTGCCTCCCCGCGGCGCAGGGTTCGGGACCTGCAGCCCACCATGCCCAATTCTCCCCACCGCCGTGAGCTCCTGCATAGCAGGAGCCTCCCAGAAGAACACCACCCCCTGCTCCGCGGCACCCGGTCCTGTGGACTGCCCGAGGGCTGAGGAGTGCGGGCACACGGCACTGCGACTGGCAGGCAGCTCCCCTCTGCGGCCCTGGTGCAGTATCCACTAGGTGAAGCCACCTGGGCTCCTGAATCTAGTGGGGACTTGGAGAACCTTTTTGTCTAGCTAAGGGATTGTAAATACACCAATCAGCACTCTGTGTCTAGCTCAAGGTTTGTAAATGCACCAATCAGTGCTCTGTGTCTAATCTAGTGGGGACTTGGAGAACCTTTATGTCTAGCTAAAGGATTGTAAATACACTAATCAGCACTCCGGTGTCTAGCTCAAGGTTTGTAAACACATCAGTCAGCACCCTGTGTCTAGCTGATCTAGTGGGGACTTAGAGAACTTTTGTGTCCAGCTCAGGGATTATAAATGCACCAATCAGCTCTGTAAAACATACCAATCAGCTCTCTGTAAAATGGACCAATCAGTGGGATGTGGTTGGGGCCAGGTAAGGGAATAAAAGCAGGCTGCCCAAGCCAGCAGTGTCTACCCACTGGGGTCCCCTTCTGCACTGTGGAAACTTTGTTCTTTCAGTCTTTGCAATAAATCTTGCTGCTGTTCACACTTTGGGTCCGCACTGCCTTTATGAGCTGTAACACTCACTGTGAAGGTCTGTAGCTTCACTCCTGAGGCCAGCAAGACCACAAACCCACCGGGAGGAATGAGCACTTCTGGACTGGAGGAACGAACAACTCCAGACGCGCTGCCTTAAGAGCTGTAACACTTACCGCAAAGGTCTACAGCTTCACTCCTGAAGCCAGCGAGACCACAAACCCATCAGAAGGAACAAACTCTGGACACACCATATTTAAGAACTGTACCACTCAACGCAAGGCTCCACGGCTTCATTTGTGAAGTCAGACCAAGAACCCACGAATTTCGGGCACGCTAGCAATCTGTGCTTCTGTGGCTTTGAGGACTTCTTTAACAGAAGCTTTCAGAAGAGCATGTTCTCAGTAAAAGAACTGAACTAAACAGTGAGAAGTACATGTAGGCAGAAATTTTTGTGTGTCATAAATACACATAACTAGCTGCATTTTGAAATAAGTAGCTCCCAGATGACTTCTGTCTCATCCATACAAAAATTGCTGCTTCTGTTTAAAGAATGTTTTAAAAATTGGTGTTTATTATTTTTTTAAAACCTCAAATTTATTTTTATAATCTGTTTGATTCTGTATTCCACAAAGCCCCATCTAGACCTCAGTTCCTTCCATGTGCTGAATGAAGAGAAGAAAAACGAAGCTGCTTAAAGGAATTATTTAGTCAATGAAAACTAATTCCACAGAACTTTGCACCTTGTGACCCTCCAAGCTGTTGTGCAGAGCACATAAACACAATTCCTATTGAATTACCATGTGTTCATGAATTTTTAGGTAACTTTTAGCCAGGCAAAAGAAAACCAGTGATGTGGGGTGACATCACAACCTCCATAAGCTCCAAACCAAACAATTTTAAGCTCTCCTTGGGCACGCTTACCGTGACTCCACACTCCTGCCAATATGTTGTCATCTGATGATCTAATTAGTGGTTATAGTTTTTAGAAGAAACATCCAGTATCTATCAGAGCTACTTTAAATGAATTATTATGGTATATTCATATTTTATCCTAAGCAACATATTAATGGAAATTTGTAAAATAACTATAAAATGTAGAATGGCGTTTTCATGGAACAATTATTATAGTATTAAAACAACGATTTTCCTTGCACTGAAGGATTGACTCTAGTAATATTTTAAAGCTGTCACCGTTTGTTGATGGCAGAATGTTTTAATCACAGCTCCAGAAATTTTATTACCTTTATTTTAGAAACTAGAATATGTATCTTTTGTCTGTGGATTGTATCAGTTGCTTATGTTTTAAGAACATAATTGCTAACTTAAAAAACTAATGAAAATGTGGAAACATTAGGAATGTTGCAGAAACTGTCAACAGAATGCTTCTTCAAGTTATTGGTGCACATACAGCAATAATCACATAAATAAAAAGAATCAAGCTGCTTTTTGCGAGTTAAATTCCTAACATCTCTGGGATATGATTAGCCATCCCTAGGAATAGATGAAAGTGTGTCTATAAATACGTGACTGAAAAGATTGGGAACCCAAAATTTCAATCAAGATGGTTAGGAATAGCAATCTTTGGGAGGCAAAACTTCATTGTGTCTTCAATTTATTAAGTAGAAAACTAGTCAATATCACTACAGAATTTGAAGAAAGACTTTCTGATCAGAAATAGGGTGGTCAATATAGCTGATAAAACAGGAACCTTGCTAATGCTAAAGATATAACGAGTATCAACTGGTAGTAGTTGAAGCTCTTTCATGAAGTGAATCATTCAGGCTACATTAACTTAAATCACTTAAATGTTCAAATACCATAACTAACTCTTCTTCTTCTCATTCTACCTATTTCATTTTCCATATATCTTATAAATGTTCTAAATGCCAAGACAAGAATTTTTTCTTTCATTTATTCATCCTCTTATACATTCATGCAACAAATATTTATTGCCAAACTCTTCCATATTCTTTTCTGGATTGCGAGAAGAACCTCTACTTTCATTTGTCAGAATTTCTTTTTCCATGATTTTGGCTTAGAGTCTACCAATGAGACAGATGCTCATGTGATTTGGAAAATGGTAGAGAGGGAGAAGTCTTTATTCTCCAGTGGCAGCAGTTTCCAGGAGCCTCACAGGTGCAGGGCAGAAGTAAAGTTCACAGGTGAG
Source organism: Homo sapiens (assembly GCF_000001405.40). NCBI lineage: Eukaryota > Metazoa > Chordata > Mammalia > Primates > Hominidae > Homo > Homo sapiens. The sequence goes on from NC_000013.11 coordinate 76,193,194, forward strand.
CTGGTAAGAGTAAGCCACTTTGGTGTTGCAGGCAGCTGATGCTGGTGTCAGTGACTTTACTAACCCCCGCCTCCTCTGGCTCTTATAATTGTGTATGCACTCTTAATTTCTGTATTAAAATACTTCCTCTTTAGAATTTTTAGGGCAGCTTCTATGTTCTCTACCAAATCCTAACTGATATGAGTATGGTTTAAACTTTTTTGGCTTTAAATGTATTATTTATTTTTCAGGGAAAATTATATTGGTCTAGATGAATATTGCATATAATCAGGGTGGATTTTTCTCCCTATAATACTCTCAGTTTTAACAGTTGCCATAAAAACAAAGCTATATGTTGAAGAAAAGCAGATAAAAGTCTTTTTAATTTAATTTTGTTTCTTTTGTCTGTGGCTTTTACAAATCCCAGTTGATATAGAATCATGTCATCTACAAATGGATAGTTTAACTTCCTCTCTTCCTGTTTGAATGCCTTCATTTCTTTCTCTTGCCTGATTGCTCTGGCCAGGACTTCAAATATGATGTTGAGTAGGAGTGGTGAGAGAGGGCATCCTTGTCTTGTGCCAGTTTTCAAGGAGAATGCTTCCAGCTTTTGCCTATCCAACATGATGTTGGCTGTGGGTTTGTCAAAGATGGCTATTATTACTTTGAAGTATGTGCCTTCAATCCCTAGTTTATTGAGTGTTTTTAACGTAAAGGAATATTGAATTTTATCAAAAGCCTTTTCTGCATCTATTGAGATAATCATGTGGTTTTTGGTTTTAGTTCTGTTTATATGATGAACCACATTTATTGATTTGTGTATGTTGAGCCAACCTTGCATCCCAGGGATGAAGCCTACTTGATCATGGTGAATCAGCTTTTTGATGTACTGATGGACTCAGTTTGCTAGTATTTTGTTGAGGATTTTTGCATCCGTGTTCATCAAGGGTTTGGCCTGAAGTTTTCTTTTTTGTTTTATTATCAGCATGAGCTTGCCTTATAGAATGAGTTGGAGAGGAGTCCTTCCTTTTCAGTTGGGTTGGTGTTTTGTTTTTTATGTTTTTCTTTTTCTTTTTTTTTTTTTTTTTTGACAGAGTCTTGCTCTGTTGCCTAGGCTGGGGTGCAATGGCGCAATCTCGACTCACTGCAACCTCCACCTCCTGGGTTCAAGCGATTCTCCTGCCTCAGCCTCCTCAGTAGCTGGGATTGCAGGCATCTGTCAACACGCTTGGTTAATTTTTGTATTTTTAGTAAAGATGGGGTTTTACCATGTTGGTCAGGCTGGTTTCGAACTCCTGACCTCAGGTGATGCACCCGCCTCGGCCTCCCAAAGCGTTGGGATTACAGGCATGAGCCACCGCGCCCGGCCCTTCCTCTTCAATTTTATAGTAGTTTCAGTAGCAGTGGTACCAGCTCTTCTTTATACATCTGGTAGTATGCAGTTGTTAAACCATCTGGTACTGGGCTTTATTTGTTTAGCAGGCTTTTGGGCTTTTTATTACTGATTCAATTTCTTAAGTAGTTATTGGCCTCTTCAGGGATTCAATTTCCTCCCTGGCTCAGTCTTTGGAGATTGCATGCATCCAGAAATTTATCCATTTCTTCTAGATTTTCTAGTTTGTCTGCATAGACGTGTTCATGGTAGTCTCTGATCTTTTTTTTTTTTTTTTTTTTTTTGTATTTCTGTGTGGTCAGTAGTAATGTCTGTTTATCATTTCTAATTGTGCTTATTTGGATTGTCTTTCTCTTTTTATTAGTCTAGCTAACAGTCTGTCTTACTAACTCTTCAAAAAATTCCTGGATTTGTTGATCTTTTGTATGGTTTTGTGTCTCAATTTCCTTCATTTCAGCACTGATTTTGGTTATTTCTTATCTTCTGCTTGCTTTGGGGTTAGTTTGCTCTTGCTTCTCTAGTTCTTCTAGTTGTGATGTTGGGTTGTTAATTTGAGCTCTTTCTAAGTTTTTGATGTGGGTGTTTAGTGCTCTAAATTTCCCTCTTAACACTGCCTTAGCTGTTTCCCAGAGATTCTGGTATGTTGTATCTTTATTCTCATTAGTTTCAAGGGATTTCTTGATTTCTACCTTAATTTCTTTATTTACCCAAAAGTCATTCAGGAGCAGGTTGTTTAACTTCCATGTAATTGTATCGTTTTGAGCCATTTTCTTAGTATTGATTTCTATTTTTATTTTGCTGTGGTCTGAGAGTATGGTTGGTATGATTTCGGTTTTTTGAATTTGCTGAGTATTATGTTCAATTGTGTGGTTGATTTTAGAGTGTGTGACGTGTGGCAATGAGAAGAATGAATATCCTGTTTTTTGGGGGTGAAGAGTTCTATAGATGTCTATTAGGTCTGTTTGGTCAAGTGTTGAGTTCAGGTCCTGAATATCTTTGTTAATTTTCTGTCTCAGTGATCTGTCTAATACTGTCAGTGGGATAGTAAAGTCTTCCACTTTTACCCCATAGTCTCTGCCCAAAAGCTACTTAATCTGATAAACAACTTTAGCAAAGTTCCAGGATGCAAAATTGATGTACAAAAAACACTAGAATTCCTATACACCAACAACATCCAAGCTGCGAGCCAAATCAGGACCACAATATCATTCACAGTTGCTACAAAAAGAATAAAATATCTAGGTGTAAAGCTAACTAAGGAGGTGAAAGTTCTCTACAATGAGAATTACAAGACACTACTCAAAGAAGTCAGAGATAATACAAACAAATAGAAAAACATTCCATTTTCATGAATAGGAAGAATCAATATTCTTAAAATGACCATACTGCCCAGAGCAATTTACAGGTTCAATGCCATTTCTACAAAACTACCAACAACATTCTTCACAGAACTAGAAAAAACTATTTTTAAGTTCATGTGGAACCAAAGATGAGCCCAAATAGCCATGGCAATCTTAAGCTAAAAGAACAAAGCTGGAGGCATCAGGTTACCCAACTTCAAACTATATTCTACAAACAGCATGATACTGGTACAAAAACAGACACATAGACCAATGGAACAGAATAGAGAGTCCAGTTATAACGCTACATACCTACAAACATCTGATCTTTGACAAAGCTGACAAAAACGAGCAATGGAGAAAGGACTCAGTATTCAATAAATGGTGCTGGGATAACTGGCTAGCCATTTGTGGAAGATTGAAACTGGACCCCTTCCCTACACTATAAACGAAAATGAACTCAAGATGAATTAAAGACTTAAATGTAAAACCTCAAACTATATAAACCTTGGTTTGCATTTGTCTAATGACCAGTGATGATGAGCATTTTTTCATATGTTTGTTGGCTGCATAAATGTCTTCTTTTGAGAAATGTCTGTTCATATCCTTTAATTTAGAAAATAATATTCTGGACATAGGACCTTGCAAAGATTTCATGACAAAGACACCAAAAGTAATTGCAACAAAAACAAAGATTGACAAATGGGATCTAATTAAACTTAAGAGCTTCTGCAGAGCAAAAGAAACTATCAACAGAGTAAATAGTTATCCTACAGAATGGGAGAAAATATTTGCAAACTATGCATCTGACAAAGGTCTAATATCCAGATTCAATAAGTAATGTAAACAAATTTGTAGGAAAAAACAAGCAGTCTCACTCAAAAGTGGGCAAAGAACATGAACAAACATTTTTTCAAAAGATATACATGCGGCCAACAGGCATAAAAAGTTATCAACATCACTAATCATTAAAGAACTGCAAATCAAAACCACAATGAGATGCCATCTCATAACAGTCAGAATTACTATTATTAAATAGTCAAAAAATAACAGATGTTGGTCAGGTTGCAGAGAAAAAGGAACATTTATATACTGCTGGTAGGAGTGTAAATTAGTTCATCCATTGTGCAAAGCTCTGTGGTGATTCCTCAAAGAACTTAGAATTGCCATTCAACCCAGCAATCCCATTATTGGGTATATACCCAAAGGAATATAAATTGTTCTACCATAAAGATGCATGCCTGCATATGTTCATCACAGCACTATTCATAATAGCAAAAACATGGAATCAACCTAAATGTTCATCGATGGTAGACAGGACAAATAAAATGTGATACCATACACACCATGGAATATTATACGGCCATAAAATGAATGAGATCATGTCCTTTGCAGCAACATGGAAAGAGCCAAAGGCCATCATCCTAAGCAAACTAATGTAGTAACAGCAAAGCAAATGTGACATGTTCTCACTTACAAGTAAGAGCTAAACAACGAGAACACATGAACAATATGAGGTGAACAACAGACACTGGGTCCTACTTGGAGTGGAGGGTGGGAGGAGGAAGAGATCAGAAAAAGTACCTCCCAGGTACTATGCTTGTTACCTGGGTGATGAAATAGTATGTACACCAAACCCCCAGGCCATGTAGTGTACCAATATAACAAACCTGCACATGTACCCCTTCACTGAAAATAAAAGTTAAAAATAAATATATACATACATACATAAAACCATACCAATTGAATCAAACTCATTCATGATGCTTAAAGTTTAGGGCAGATAAGGATACACTAAATTTAAAATGGTGTTTATTATACCTTCACCCATTTTTGTTTTAAAAAATTCTTTTAAAAGAAGTGAGAAGATTCCCTTAAGTATGTTACTTGTGTAATTCTCTGCCACAAGTTACAGAGAAGTTTCTAGCATTCCAGAAATAATTTAATGGCTTCTCTTAAGAGTCCAGAATTCTCTATCAGGTATTTTTATCCCAAGCATGTCTTTATAATTTCGAGCTGTAAGTTGACTTTTTTTCCCATCATGTTCTAGGATTTGTCTATCCAGCTTGGAGGATTTTTTTGGTTTGTTTGTTTGTTTTGTTTTGGGGTGGGGGAGAGAAGTTTGAAATTTCAATCTTTTTTCTTTTCCCACGGAAAATGGCAACATAATCAGACATCATTATTACTCTAGACTCATTTCCCATATTTAGAGATACCATAGATGGGATTAATGATGATCATTTAGGAAGAAAGGTTGAAGTAGACAAGATCTGATGAGGATGTGGTAATCAGAGTGTGCAGATGGGTAGAAATTCTACAGGAGAAAACGCCCCATTAGCAGCTTAGCAATTAAATTCATTTCTCTTAAGAGCAGATGTGGAATATTCCTTATTGCATATAGTGCATGTTTGAAAGAACATGTAGGGACAAGCAGTTGGGGACAGTTATTTTCTAAGTCATATATGAAAATAAACTAATTAATTGTGGAAGATCTATTTTGGATTTTTCATTTTGTTCAGAAAAGGCTTTAACTTTCATTCTCTGATAGCAGAGCTCTTGGGATTTTTTTTTTTTTTTTTTTTGGCTCTCTCACTAAGATTAAAATAAGTTCTACCATTAAAGCCCTTTCCCTGTCTGACCATACAAAGAAAGTAAGGAGCACAACCTTGCTGGAGTGGTTGACCAGATTATAATGAAGGGGACCACAGGTCAGGAAAAGTCTTTGCTCATCATCAAAAATCTCTTTGACTTTTTATTTCCAAGCTCTTTGAAAATGCTAAGTCAAAGTGTTAGGTTCATGCGACTTCCAAAATGTGTTGTGCTGAGCTGAGTCAAGAACTCTTCCTGCTGTCATGTGTATTCTCCAAACCAATCACTTGTCAGGTGTGTTGCCTACCATTTATTATGGATCTCCATTATAATTTCTCTTCAGATGACTAAATACAGCACCATTACTTATGGGCTCTCACATCCAGCTGGCCTCTGTTCCGATTTAATGCTCCTGTTGGTCTGGATTTTAAACAGTCTTGTTTGTAATTTCTGAAGTCTATCAGTCTGAGGAGGAAAACTGTGACTGATGTGCAAATTGTGTACTCCATTATGCTTTGCATTATTCATTTTCATTATTCACACCATGGTGCATTTCTTGGCAGAAGCAGAGAATTTTGAAAAAGTACATTCCCGGTGGTGTGGGTGCTATTTGAAACATACAGTGATTTTCTACTTTGATTTCATTAGGGCTCATCTATTTCTGGTTTGTGGTCCTGTTGACCTATGTGGGTTTGCATAGCTAATAGTAAATATAAAGGGAAAAGAAAAAGAAAAAGGCTTTTTAGTGAATCTCAAAAAATAAGGAACTAGTTTCCAGACTATAGTGTGTTGAGGGCAAACCCTCGCCTGTGACATGAGTTCCTTTCATTGATGAAAATAACATTGACTCCAGTACTCCAGTACTCAGTTAGGATGGAGCTTTTGTTTGTTTTTCTTCAGCTTTAGAGAATGGTTGACCAAAGGCCTCAGGTGTGAGAATGTTAAATTGTGAGCAACTCTGCCTTCCTTGTGAGTTGTGGGATAATTTGGGGACTAACCAATTTCCACCTGGAAATGTTCAAGCATTTTGTTTTGCATTTCTTAACACCATTCTTCTACTCTTCATTTTTGTGAAAATATTTTAGTTACAGATAAATTTCTTTTGGTTAAATGCTACAGATACCTTACCTGAATCAGTCCCACTGACGCTAATTAAGGTGCAAGAGAATCAATGCTACACTTCTTTCTTCTGTTGCAGAATTGTATCTTGATGATTATTTCAGGATTGCCATGGCCTCAAATCATCTAACTTTTTGTAGTTCCCTTTGATTTTTTAGCTTCAGTACAGAAAAGATCAATTTCCTCTCTTTGAGTGCTCATGTTTTCCTGGAGGTCACCTTAAACCACCTTTGGCTTTGACTTTAAGCACAGCACACTTTCCTCTGTTCCTGGATTGCTTTTCTTTCTTTCTGTGAATATTTATCATCTTTCAAATTGTTGCAGAATTCTGTCTAGCTCATCATGCTATCTCTTTGCCAAAAGGAGTATATCTGTATCCTCAATGGAAGGTACAGCACAGAAGCGTGTTTTCCACAGAAATCTAGATTGAAAATAAATGAGAGAAAATAAGTATTTCGCTGGAGAAAACTAGCCTTATACGACTACCTTATGGGAGGTGATTTCATCAATTTAATGAAGACATTTTTGGTATGAACTGTGAGCCTGGCATTGTGTTAGATGCTGAGAAGCAGAGATAACTAAGGCACTATTTCTGCCATCGTAGAGCATCAGATCACTGTGGTTCAACTTTTATGCAACAAAGGTTTGAGTTGCTTTTCAGTTGCCATGGCCCATCAGAAAGAAGTTCTTCTAAGCTGAGAATGCTCAGCTGAGCCAAGTATGCAAACCACAAGTGGAACCTATGTGCTCAGACCCAGGAATGGGACTGATTTAGGAAGTAGACACTATGTGGTGGGTTATAAGGACCAATCAGATTGAGCCCTGGAGTCACCTGTTGGCAGGATCTAGTCAGAGTATGCCTCCTGGTATCACCCAATGGCAATATCCAATCAGATTATGCCTCATCACCCACTGTTATAAAACCTGCCCCAACCCCCAGCTTGGGGAGACAGATTTGAGCGTTTCCTCCTATCTCCTTGCCACTCAGCTCACAATAAACTTTTCTTGCTGCAAAACCCCCATGCTTTGGTGTTTGGCTTTCTGCTGTGCATTGGCAAACAACAGACCCAGTCTGGTATGCTAAATAAAGGAGAAAAACACCAAAATGGAGCAATCATGGAATATAATAGTTCTGCAGTAATGTGTGTACTGAGTATCCTGAGAATAGAGAAGAGTCTACCCTGTCTGACATTCCTTTAACTGGATGGCCAATGGTAATTTGAGACAATCCCACCATAACTAGCCTAAAATATGAATATCCAAGGTCACATAAAATAAAATAACTACTCAATTTCAGGTATAAATGACCTATGTACAATCTCTTTGCTTTTAATGACTGTGAGGCATATCGGCATGTGATTTTTTTTGTTTTTTTTAGATGGAGTTTTGCTGTGTTTGCCCAGGCTGGAGTGCAATGGCATGATCTTGGCTCACTGCAACCTCTGCCTTCCAAGCTTAAGTGAGTCTCCTGCCTCAACCTCCCAAGTAGCTGGGATTACAGGCACCTGCCACCATGCCCAGCTAATTATTATTATTATTATTATTGTTTTTAGTAGAGATGGGGTTTCACCATGTTGGCCAGGCTGGTCTCAAACTCCTGACCTCAGGTGATCTGCCTGCCTCAGCCTCCCAAAGTGCTAGAATTACAGGCGTGAGCCACCATGCCTGGCCTGGCATGTGATTTTTAAAATGACACTCTTCTTAAAAAGTTCATGGGCTCAAAAAAATTGATATTCTCATCTCTAAAGACTAACTAAAGTCTCATCTCTAAAGACTAACAGGTAAGAAACACTAATTGTGTGCAATTTGAAGTAAAAAAAAAAAAAAAAAAAAGGTGGGCTATGAGAAGTGTTGAAGACCCAAGAAAATGAAGGCATGAAAGAGGCATTTTATTGTTTATCCTGTAAAGTGTATTGGCATAACATTTTTTTTTAACAGCAACAACTAAACAGTGTCCACATTAGATCCTTTTTTGACAGTAGATTTACATGAATGTGGCAGCCGAGATAGGACAAAAAGAGAGGCTAAAAAATTAAATAGATCTGTGTCTATTTTACAATTTTGCCTAGGGCCAACCCTGTTTCATAAATATAAGTGACTTGGACTTCACATCTTGTTGATTGAAAAAATTGCATTGTATTGTGACATTATTTTTAAAATGGTGTAAATAGAATAAGTGTTTATATAGTTGATAAAATTTCACTCTCACATGTGATATAAAACACACGTGTCATATAAATAAATGCACAAAGTGATTCTGAGAAGGTAATCCTCCAAAATGCGGCAGCAGTTACTTTTTATGTTGGAGATGGGGAGCTTTTTATTTTCTTCATTAAACTTTTATTTTCCTTGAATTCAAAAAAAATCATTCAAATACAACATTATACACTAGGTATTGGCACTATTATCTGAATATATAAAATACAGCCAAAGCATATGTAATTTTTCCCTCACCAACATATATCATTGTTTTTATTTCTTCTAAAAAAAAGGGGATACATGTGCAGAACATGCGAGTTTGTTACATAGGTATACATGTGCCATGGTCGTTTGCTGCACCTACTGACCTGTCCTCTAAGTTCCCTCCCCTCACCCCCAACAGGCCCTGATGTGTGTTGTTCCCCTCTCTGTGTCCACGTGTTCTCAATGTTCAACTCCCACTTATGAGAACATGTGGTGTTTGGTTTGTGTTCCTGTGTTAGTTTGCTAAGGATGATGACTTCCATCTTTATCCATGTCCCTGCAAAGGACATGATCTCATTCCTTTTTATGGCTGCATAGTATTCCATGGTGTATATGGACGACATTTTCTTTATCCAGTCTATCATTGGTGGGCATTTTGGTTGGTTCCAAGTCTTTGCTATTGTGAACACTGCTGCAGTAAACATACTTGTGCATGTGTCTTTATAGTAGTATGCTTTATATTCCTTTGGTTGTATACTCAGTAATGGGATTGCTGGGTCAAATGGTATTTCTGGTTTTAGATCCTTGAGGAATTGGCACACTGTCTTCCACAATGGCTGAACTAATTTACATTCCCACCAACAGTGTAAAAGCGTTCCTATTTCTCCATAGCCTTGCCAGTTTCTATTGTTTCCTGACTTTTTAATAATCGCCTTTCTGACAGGTGTGAGATGGTATCTCGTTGTGGTTTTGATTTGCATTTCTCTGATGATCAGTGATATTGAGCTTTTTTAATATAACAAACATATATCATTTTTAACAACCAAGAATAACAATACTATTAGATAGACGGAAAAATAGAGCAATAATAATTTTTTAAACTCGAAGAGATTTAATATACTCTGGGGACACTTAAAAAATAAATATTTGAAGGAGATCGAGACCACCCTGGCTAACACAGTGAAATCCCGTTTCTACTAAAAATACAAAAAATTAGCTGGGCGTGGTGGCTGGTGCCTGTAGTCCCAGCTACTTGGGAGGCTGAGGCAGGAGAATGGCATAAACCTGGGAGGCAGAGCTTGCAGTGAGCTGAGATCATGCCACTGCACTCCAGCCTGGGCGACAGAGTGAGACTCTGTCTCAAAAAAAAAAAAAAAAAAAAAAAAAAAAAAAAAATTTGAGAGGCATTAGCTTGCCAGATGTTTAAAAATAGTCTCATATTGCATGGATGTTGAGCCCCGAGGAAATTAGAATGAGTCTTTTAACAACATGATAATCTCTTTTCCCAATATTTTACCTATTTGTTTAGGTTAGGAATTCTTCTGTGATTAAACTATATTTCTATTTTCTTATGGGTATATACTTTCTCTTTTTTTCAGTTTTGCACTTCATTTGGAAGCGGGAGGTAGGGGGCCTTGATAAATACAGGTGAGCTGGAGAAAGTTCACATAGATGACAAATTTTATGAAGCAATTTATAAGGTTAATTTAAGTAATAGAAAAACACAGGAGGAGGGTTGAATTGCATGTTACAACATGGCTGATAATGGAAAGATTAAATTAAAAAACAGAACAGTAGAAGCACGTTTTAAAATAAATTATATATTAGAATTATTTCCCCAGGGAAGATATGTAGCGGTCAGTGCTAACAAACACTTTGAGAAACACTAAAACAACTTTTTTTAGTACATTCTTCAGCAAAGTGTGTATGTGTGTGTGTGTGTGTGTATGTGATCACCTCAAAGAAATAAAAATCACAAAATCATGTGTTCAAGAATTTGTTTAACTCCTAGCATTACCAACTTTGTTAATATCAAATGTTTTGGAGTTATATGTTTCTTTCATTAAATGATAATGTGTGAATGAAGAAAAATGCATGGAATGATAAGCAGTGATAAGGAAATTTGCGCTCAGCATCTAAGAAAGCCTGAATATTTTTCCTACAAAATCTTTCCTGTAGTGAGTACTTTGTAATCGTTTAAAGCCATCACTTTTTGAAAATGAAGTGGACCAAGATTTTGGTTACAGAATGTCTTCTTCCTCTAAAGAACTTAGTTTTTAATTAAATTATTATTTTTAAATAAATTACATATTATTTGATTTATTAATAAACATACATGTAGATCCTGTGGATGTTCCTAATAATGCTGTAGCAGCTTATACACATACACACACAAACACAATAGTAGTTTGTCTTTAGAGGACCTGTGGCCAGATTAAACTTATTTATGTACCGCTTCTTAGAGTAGAAATAATTTAAGCAAATTTCCGAAATTCTACTACCACACAGGAATGCCTTTCCCTCTAAACTGAGTGGCAGTCACATTTCTAAAGTTTACACTGAACAATCAAGGCTCATAAGATACAACCAGAATATAATTCATCCCCTATTACCAATAAAACTACCCTGGGGGATTGTTTCTTAAAATTTTGGGGTGGTTCCATGACTTTTGGGGTCTCTTGGAAAATCAGAGCTTCTGGTTACTTCAGTCACAGAAAAAGGAAAAAACCCTCAATTTAGTAATTAATGTATATATTCCAGTGTGATAATTGAAACTCTGAACTTCATTGCAAGCTCAATTTTTACCCTGTTTTGAGCTAGAGCTTGTTTGAGTTGAACTGCTGCAAGGGAGAAAGAGGGCATGAGAAGTTTCTCTTCTAGGTTCTTGTATATTGCTCCTGACCCTACTTGTCCAGTATCTCGATGCCTCTAACTCCTTCATGGTTGAAGGCTGGCAAGAACAGATTTTACTTGACCATGAATTTGGCATTGGATGTATTTGACCATGATTGATGTTTAAACTGAACCTTGTCCTTGCTGGTGGGCTCCTTGAGATTTCTCTCTTGGGCACCTCTGACTTCTGTGCTCTTGATATGTATAGTGCCCTTTCTTTAGCAGGCATCCTAAGACCCCCTGATTCTTAATATTAAGCTAATTTTTGCTGAGGTCTTCTTATCCTGCGCAGGAAGTCCTGAGCTGACATTCCTCCTACAAGTTACACATCTGGTTCATGGATCTGTCCTTGGTGGAGATGTACATATGGTCCTTGACCTGTCCTTGGTGCGGATACAATCATTCTCCACATGGACTCTTCTGCTCCCATGCCACATATCTCCTCAGCCATCATCTCACCATAAACCAGACATCCATCCAGTGCCTCCTCAAACTTCAGGCAACACATCCCACATACTCAAGTGATGTCTTTGAAGACCTCCTCACAATGTGTGAGATGAGAGAAAAGTTCTTTTAATTCTTCCCAATGGTGGTAGGCTGTGAATGCAAAACCCTTACAACTGTCTCCAAAATAAAACTTTCCTTAGTTTCCATCTCCTTGTACTCCTCTGCTTTAGTTCTTTAATAGCCTTAAAGTGACTATAAGGGGCCATGATCAGAAAATTATTTTATAAACTCTTTTGAATGTCTTGTTAAGTTGGTCTAGCATAGAAGTTGTTGGTAGCTATTGTCTTAAGACCTCATTAACTGAGTCAGAAAGTTTTGAATTTTGATATCCTGTTATGAATGTATTTGTACATATCATTATGTTATGAGCACATACATGTATGTGTTATGCGTATGTGTGTATATGCTCTTTCTTTCTTTCAAACATACACCCAATTTGTGTTTATATTAATACATTCTCTTGTACAGGCATTTATGAAGATGCCTCTCAGTGTAAACCCTGTTAGGAACTGGTTATACAAAATGGCTAAGACTTCTTCTTAAGAAATACAGGCTGGCAGGATGATAAACATAAAAGCAGATAAATACATTATAAAGTGAGAAATGCTGCTGGAAAGCTCTGTCAACTACTTGAAGGACAAAGATTAGCCATGATGCATGGAGGATATGATCAAACAAGCATCATTAAACCAGTAACAGGTTAAAGTAAGGATCTTCAAGTTAATGGGCAGTAATTACAACTCCACCCTATAAATAGCAGAGCATTCCTGGAACTACTAAAGAAGTGCATGTGTTACCTTTGTGTCATTATATTGATCCAAAATTTAGGGTTTCCTGCTTGTGTATCCTCCTTCTACCCAATTTAACTGTGCAATACACTGAAAATGTCTCTCTTGCTGTCTCTTACCAAAGAGAAGCCTGACTTTAAGAAACCAGCCTAATCAGACAGCTGTATATGTTAATCAAGAATAATATTGTTCTCTAGAATACAATTTTTAGTAAAACTGTATTGTAGAGATAGCTTAGTTGAAGTCTCCACATAAAAACGTTTTGTTTTTCATCAAAATTCAGTAAAAAGGGAATCTGAATTGAGTGTCTTGTGACTTTGCAGATGAAAATCTGCAGACTCCAAGAAATTTACTCTTGAAAAATCAGTTCAATTGTAAGGAAAATGCTTACATATTGAGAATCTACTCAGAAACTGAGCAAAATTTAGGGTCAAATAATTCTCTTGAGTAAAGAAAACAGTGATTAAAAAAAAGGAGTGAAATATTGCTCAATTTCTATTTGTTAATGAAAATGAGTTCATTTGTTTTTTTCAGATGCTTAAAAACATTGCCTTCCAGTTTAAAATAGAAATATTTTTCATTGAGTATAATGCTTAAAGAAATATTATACTTATCAAGTATAAATGCCACTGACTCTCTGAATTGTTTCTACATGTGCGTGTGTTGACTAATATTAACATTTTAATGTATGGTATTAATCTTTCATTAAGGATGTTATCTTAATACATTAACAATAAAAGTTAATGCTTTTTATTGGAAAGGCAATTACCCATGGTTTAGATGGTAAAGCCATGATAAATTTTCAGGCCATGTTTTCTTATTTACTTTAAGAATAAATTTAGCATAATTAGTATCCTAACTTGAACTTGAACTAGTGTGGTTGTCTGGAGACTTGCTGGAGAATTCACAGGATTTTTCCAGATATTTTAAGGTTGACTACAAATTAAAACCATATTTGTTTATGTAACTTAAAAGTACCTCTTAACAGGAATTACAAGAGGACAGTTTTAGTAAACTTGAAATATGTGAGAGTTTAAGATACAAATATGAAACCTGAGAAATATGGGGCTTACAAACTTGGAACAAGCTGTTTTTAGCATCTTAACCTCTAACAGTATCTGTATACCTTCATTAAAATGTCATACATCAATGTTTATACATTCGTACACACAACTGAAACTAAGTCTATCAGATTTTAATTTCCAATTGGAAACATATTACAGCATATGAAATTTCTTTTCTCTATTAAATAAGAAATGCAGCAAAAAATGGATTCCTATGATACTTCATCATCTGCTCATGCTGACATTTCAGAGTTCTTTTGTGAAGATTCTTTAAAAAATTTTTTTTTATTATACTTTAAGTTTTGGGTTACGTGCGCAGAACGTGCAGTTTTGTTACATAGGTATACACATGCCATGGTGGTTTGCTGCACCCATCAACCTGTCACCTACATTAGGTATTTCTCCTAATGTTATCCCTCCCCCAGCCGCCCCCTACCCCCCACAGGCCCTGGTGTGTGATGTTCCCCTCCTGTGTCCATGTGTTCTCACTGTTCAACTCCCACTTATGAGTGAGAACATGTGGTGTTTGGTTTTCTGATCTTGTGATAGTTTGCTGAGAATGATGGTTTCCAGCTTCATCCATGTCCCTGCAAAGGACGTGAACTCATCCTTTTCTATGGCTGCATAGTATTCTATGGTGTATATTTGCCACATTTTCTTAATCCAGTCTATCATTGATGGACACTTCTCAAAAGAAGACATTTATGCAGCCAAGAGACATGTGAAAAAATGTCCATCATCATTGGTCATTAGAGAAATGCAAATCAAAACCACAATGAGATACCATCTAATGCCAGTTAGAATGGTGATCATTAAAAAGTCAGGAAATGACAGATGCTGGAGAGGTTGTGGAAAAATAGGAACGCTTTTATGCTGTTGGTGGGAATGTAAATTACTTCAACCATTGTGGAAGACAGTGTGGCGATTCCTCAAGTATCTAGAACTAGAAGATTCTTAAGGTAGCATACACTAAAGTGCTGTCCTCTGCTGTAGATGGTGACATCATTGTTTGCTAAAGTGATATGATCTGATAAAATTCATCACAGCATTGATAGACCACCATACAGAAATCTACCCCATCTCTAAGTGGAACAAGCCATGGCTACAATGATGGGAAAAGGCCAGCCTTATCACTTGCCTACCATCGGCTGATAATTGAGCTTTTTTGCTTTACCTCTCTTTCTTTATCTTTTTTGCTTTTGGTTAATTAACGTTTTGTAAAGAAAAATTCAGAAAAAAAAGAAAGATGGTGAGATTCTTTCAAATTATTTATCCACTTATTATTTGGTTATTCCTAAGTACTTAAAACAAGTTTCTTTTCACTTACTTTTTAAAAAGTTTCCTTATCCTCTCAAACTTAACCTTAGCCTTTAGTTTTGTATCATCTACCAAAAAGCAAAGTGTTAATTTTTATTCTCTTTTGATAGTTCTCCTACCCCTGATCATTTTTGTTAGTTTTTTCTCTTCTTTTGCATACCATTCAAATGTTCATGTCATTCAGCATTCTTCCTTTAGTTCTCCCCCCCTCCACCCAGTTCTCCATATTTTCACATATTGACTTCATTCATCCTCATAACTACAACAGCTATCTCTATGCTACGGATATCCAAATATATTTCACTGTCATAACTATCTCTTCTGAATTCCAGTCCTTTTTATCTAACTGCCTATGAGACACCTCCATACTGGATATCCCATAGTTGTCTCATCAGAACAAATGTTAAGATGAAAAACTTTTCCTCTGTACTTGCTCTCTGTGTATTGCCATTGCCCTTTAAAAGAGAATAAAGCTTCCTCCAGCCTGAGCACCACCATCCCTGTGATTAAGGAAGGGACCCACTGAACCTGGAGTGCTCTTGTCAGTTGCTCTTCTCTCCCAACACTGACATTCTCCTTTACACTAATGATTCCTCTAATACATTGGCTTCCATGTCTTTGACAGTTTCCTCCAAAGATCTTGTCCTCCGTTCTGAGACATCCACTCCCATGATTTAGTCTAGACCTTACCAATCTATAGTGAATACATCTTACGCTTCTAACTTTCTTCAGTGCCCCAACTTTAAGGATTTCTCAAATTCTCCAGGATCTTTCCATAAACTATTGCTCCTGCCCCACTTTTCATTGCCTCCCCACCCTCCTCAAATGTTCACTTCCCAGCTTACTCAGTTTAAGTTCCATGGGCAGTCGTAACAATCATTTTCATATATACTCTCAACTACTTCTTCCTTTCCCTGCATAGTGTATTGGCAAACACAAACCCACACAAAAATATATGGCCTTTACTCTTCACATGAACCTTAGCAGGTGATCATGGTGAGATCACATAGCTAATTTGCAGAGAGAGGTTTTTTTTTTTTTTTTTTGAGATGGAGTCTCGCTTCCATCGTGCAGGCTGGAGTGCAGTGGTGCAATCTCAGCTCACTGCAACCTCCACTTCCAGGGTTCAAGAGATTCTTCTTCCTCAGCCTCCTGAGTAGCTGGGATTATAGGCGTGCACCACGACGCCTGGCTAATTTTTTTGTATTTTAGTAGAGACAAGGTTTTGCCATGTTGGTCAGGCTGGTCTCAAACTCTTGACCACAAGTGATCTGCCCACCTTGGCTTCCCAAAGTGCTGGGATTACAGGTGTGAGCCATTGCTCCCGGCCTGTGTGGACAGATTTTTAAACTCATGATGTCTAACCTCAAATACGCCTCCAGTGTTGCCTAAAAATTCCTCTCCATTTCCCCATGGAAGCCATACTGCCACTCTTATAGATGAATAGTAGTACTTACCTTTTCTCTTTTCTTTAAACTTCACTACATTCTCCTCATTCTTGTTTTCAGCTGATAACTGCTTCTTATTTAACAGAGAAAACACACATGACCAGACAAAAATCTCTACTTTTTATTTCAAACAAATATAGAAAGTTACTTGCATTTGTAAGCAAATACTGAATATTTTTGGTTCTATTCCCACTTCACCCCTCACCCAACTTCCTCACCGAATTCCTATTCCTACTTCTGGATATTGTGAGGTCTCAATCCTAGTATCTCACTGCCTTGGTGATGTCAGCTGTGTCATAAGTTTAAATATTGTCTACATGCCAACCAATCACAAATATTTATTTCCTGTCCAACCTCTCTCCTGGATTCTAGATTTCAAGTGTCCATCAGCTTAATTAACATCTCTGCTTAGATATTCTGGAGATTGTTAAGGTTGTTCATAAATACTCTCCTACCTTTGGTACATGGTACAATTGCATTTCTCAGAACCCTCATACCCATGTTGTTAGCCAGGAAAGTATTTTATGTTATGTACGTGAGAAACCTTAAAGAGCCACAGTGTAATGGCCACATTCCTGTTCCTGTCTTTGCTGTCTATTGGGGAAGCATGTGTCTACAGACAGCCTGCATCAGATTGGCTCTCTGAGTGACTGAAGTGGGTATGGCCTGCTGCCAACCCTGGAGGATTTGAAGCAAGAGTGAGTAATAAATTGTCTTACTAAGCCAATGGTACTTTGGGATTGTTGGTTCTTCATCATAGTTTATCTCAACTGGTAATATTTCTATTATGCATATAAAATTTAATTTATTCTGAACAACCTTTTGCTTTTCCTTTCCAAATCTGATCTGCCTATAATTTTCTCCATACCAGGAAATGGATTCACCAATATTTCAATGTCTGTGGTCAAAACTATCATTACTTTTTCTTATAACTCACATCTACTCCATCAACAGATCTTTTTGGCTCCACTTTGAAAAGGTAGTCAGATTTAAATTACCTACACTGCAGGCTAGTAAGTATACAACTAGTACACTTGTCCAAGCCTGAGTTTTGCAATGGTCTCCTAACTTGCCTTCCTGTTTCTCCATTTAAACTATTATAGTCAATTTTCCACATAGCATCAAGAGGGATTTTTAAAAATACATCAGATTAGGCCACACCTTGCCCCAAACCACTCAGGGTCCACCATTCATAAAGTAATATTTCAAGTCCTTACGTAGCTTACAAGATCTGTATCATCTGACCCACTTATAATGATCTGTTCTCATTTTTACTTATCACTACTCTTTTTCACCACTCACTGCTTCAGCTACTCATTTCTCACTTAAACCCTACTTACTATATCCAGGACATTGTACTTGCCATTTCACTTGTTGACATTTACACATCAATTACCATTAATGTAAGTTAAATCTATATCATTCTGAATCTTGTCATAATAGAGTTAACTTTCTGGATAAATCTGATTACTAAGAGAAACATAGCATTCTATATTATTCAGAGATGTGTGTTGTAATCATTCTGTCTTCTGTTGAATTGTAGTCTTGAGAATATAAGTAATTATGAAAAACTACATTTGTTAGAATGTTTCTTTTTGAAAGAAGTGTTTGTTCAGTTAAAGTTGTAAACCCATGGTTGTGGAGTTAAAATATGTGCACATATTCTTAGCTACGCCTCCTTTCAACAGGTGGAACTTGATTATTTCCCTTTGAGTGTGGGCTGTGCTTACTGACTTATATTTAATGAATAAAATGTGGCAGAAATGGCAGTGTAGTTCTGAAGACTGGATCATAAAAGGCACTATGGTTGGGGCTTTTCTCTCTCTGTCTGTCTGTGTGTCTCTCATTTCTTCTCTCTTTGATCATGTGCTATCAGGGAAGTTAGATACCATGTCATGAGGACCTTTCTTACCATCAAAGATCCACATGGTAAGAAACTGGGGCCTTTGGTCAACATCCAGCAAAGAATTGAGGTTTCCAGCCACAGTGAGTGAGCATTCTTGGGACAGAGAATGAGCATTCTAGGGAAGCAGATTCTCCAGCCCCAGTCAAGCCTTCAGATGACTGCAGTCTTGGCCACCATCTTGACTCTATATTAATGTGAAACTCTACACCAGAAATACTCATCTAATTCCTGGATCCCTGACTCTCAGAAACTGTATGAGACAATAAGTATTTATTATTTTAATCTGCTACATTTTGAAGTAATTCCTGATGCAAAAAAATAAATAATACACAATATCATTTTTGTCATAGAGGTTTGATTATGATTAAATATAACCAGTGTAAAAATTTACCTCTTTACTACCATCTTACTGATCTCATAAAAAGTCAAACAGTAAAAAGATTATATAGATTACCTTACATTTGAGAATATGTATAAAGCATTCTTCTTTGCAAAATTACTTTATCAATAAAATAGACAATTAACAAATTAATTATAAAATGCCTTACAGAGTCTCTTCTATAGGGGTGAAAATATGAGGGAAAGACAGGAAGTGAAAATTAACATTATGCTTGCTGGGTAGGGTAGGTGTCAGCCTCTCTAGAGTAAAAGGCAAAAAAATGAAGAAAAAGCCAAATCATTTGCCTTTAAGCAATTAGTTACTAAGAATTTCTTTGAAAAATACTACTTATAAGTTTATTTCATAGTTCACCTTAGATTACCTGTAATTTCAATTGAATTCAAATCGAGATTTACTGTTTGCCAGGAACTGAGTTAAAGATTCAAAGATAAGCAAGACTTGGACCATTTCCTGGAAGAGTCTAGTAGGGGAATGAGAGCATCAGAAGATAATCAATAAATGTATTCTATACTATATATATATGGCCAACTGGAGGCACCTTTATGATATATGCAGGCTAATTCTGGGCCATTGCAATAGGCCATGCAACTAACAGGATAGAAAGCATATCTAAAAAGCAACTTGCAAGTCGATTCAATGTTCTCCTGTTAACTCATAGGAAGTGATTCTTGTGGTTTCAAGGATATCATGAGGTTGCCCCTTGTGCCTTAAATATCAGTAATAATTTTCCCTTTCAACTCTTGGCGTTCCATTCTTCATCCACAAAAACAGCTGAAGATGTGGTAGCAGAGAACAACAAATCATCCTGTTGGCTCCTGCCATCACCTGATGACAGAAGAAGAGCTGTCAGATCGTGTTTATAAGCACTACTGATTCCTGCTGGTCATGCTGTTGTAGGACCACCTGAGTCCCCCCAAGGGAAAAAGGTTTTGAGGCCATCTCCTAGCAACAACAAATGGAATAACTTAATACCAAGCATTTACTTTCTTTGCCTAAAATTCAGCTTCATTATATCAGAAGAGAAAGATGAGGGAGAAGGAGCAATGAAACAAAAAAAGTGGATGGAGAAGGAAAAGACAGTAAAAAGGAGGAGTGGAAAGAAGGTTGCAGATGCTTGAGCTCAGTATATAGGACAATTGGGGAAACATTTGAAAGCTATTTCCTTAGGTAAATAACTCAACCTCAACCAGAGCAATTGATGAAACCCTTGCCTTTCCTGAGACAATTTTGTTCCCAGCATAGTTCTTGGCGGGGGGGGTTCAGAAATTGTCCCTGAGGCAGGTGTCAACTATGTCAGCTGCTTTCTTCATAGCTGTGAGCTGATAGTTTCACATCCTTCCTGTTTCCACCACATAACTCTTTTCCAACCTACAGTTTTCTTTCCCTTTTGAAACTGCTAATGAAGCAGAGAGAGGGAAGCTGATGCTCACTACTTCCCCGTGCAGGGCCCGTTTTAGGTACTGTGGTCTCTGTCACTGTGACCTGGGCAAAAGATATGAGGCTGTACCATATAGGACAGAGGATTCTATAGGAGCTTTGTGGCAGGCCCATTCTTATACGGTACCTGCACACACTCTGCTGCATGGAGGCCAAGATATGCATTGATGTGTAATTCCTTTGTGCCATTGTTCTGGTGTGGTGGTCAGATTTGTCTGCTACAGCCTAGCCTAGCTGTTCTCAAACTGGAACATGTATGAGAATTACCTTCAGGGTTTGTTAGTACACAGACAGGTGGGTCCTGATCTCAGAGTTTCTGATTCAGTAGATTTGGGGCAGACTCAGGAATTTGCATTTCTAACCAGTGCCTATGCGATGTTGATACTGTTTGTTTAGGCCATTAATATAGAATCTCTCTCCTTAATAATCACTGGCCTAAGCCATAGTGATGAGCTTGCCATTCTCTAAGCTTCTGTTTAGTGACACTGCAGTTTTCTTCTATTTTCTTTCTACCAGAGGCCGAGAGGTCCAGGGAATACCCCTATATTCTTCTTGGGGATTTTTTTTTTTTTTTTTTTTGCTTGTTGCCTGTTGACATTAAGAGTCACATAGTATCTGGATGGAGAGAGAGAAAAGGGCCCCTCACAGCAGTGGTGAGAATGACTTGGCAGTTGGTTTTTGAATGTTCCATGGTGCAGTTGGTGTGCTTCACAGTCTTCACCCAAGCCCCATTCAGAATAGTTTCTCCTACTCTTTTCACAGTAAAAGGCAAGCAGGGGGTTTTGTATTTCCAAAAGTATACATGAGTAAAGACTACTTTGTTGTCATCTTTCTGGCTAAATGTGTGAACCTGATTCAGCAGCATATTCTCAAATATCTCAGTATCATTTGGGACGTATGTCTGAAGGCCTCCCCACTGAATCCTCCGTGAGCGTAGATTTATTTCAGGTTTGCAGATCATTGCATAGGCTTCTTTCAAGTGCCAAAGTTCACACTAACTTTCTTGCACATTTTCAATCATATTCCTATGAAAGTTATGCTTTTTTGCTTACTTCTAAGGTTTAAAATAACCAATTGTTTAAAAAACACACTTTTTCTTGATCTTTGATTACTTCCTTTCCAAATCATCTCATGTGCTCTGTAATACTCTGAATTACATACACATACACACACACACACACACACACACACACACACATATATTTTTTATTTAAGTTCTAGGGTACATGTGCACAACGCGCAGGTTTGTTACATATGTATACATGTGCCATGTTTGTGTGCTGCACCCATTAACTCGTCATTTACATTAGGTATATCTCTTAATGCTATCCCTCCCTCCTCCCCCCCACCCCACAACAGGCCCTGGTGTGTGATGTTCCCCTTCCTGTGTCCAAGTGTTCTCATTGTTCAATTCCCACCTATGGATGATGACTGCAATAATGGTGATAGTAATAAAACTTGCATTTGCTTATTATATACTTATTTATTGATATGTGCCAGGCACTGTGCTAAAAACCATATACACATACTATTTAGTTTTCACTGGAAAGCAAAAATAGAAATGGTTTTATTATCACCATATTATGGATGTTGAAACTAAGACTTAGAAAGGTTAGTACTTCCTAAGGTCAAAACAACAAAAATTAGAGCAAGAATTTGAATACAGACCTGGTTTCAAAACTGTTTACAACTTTTCTGAAAGATATGTTTATTTCTCTCTCTGGGCAATTAGGAGAATTCCCTTCTCTTATTCGATTTCCCTGTCCAGTCAATTAGTCAGCAAATATGTTCTAGGCACCAAGTTTGTTTCAGATGCTTCTCCAGTGCTAACAGCCTGGAACCAAACCAAGTGAATATAATTTTATGTATGATTAGTGTTATGTAGAAAATAAGCAAGGCAGTCATAAGTGATGAAGGATCTACATTAACTAGGTTGGTCAGTGAGCACTATCCTAAGGAATTACATTTGCAGCAGGCACTGAATTAATGAGAAGAAAGCAACAATGGGAAGTTCAGTGGTTAAGTCTTCCAAGCCAAAGGAAGAGCAAGTGCAAGAAGGCTGAGAAGGAAATGAGATTAGTGTGAACGAGGAACTCAAAGAACAATGGGGAGTGTTGAAGGAGATGAGGTTGGAAAGGCAAACACAGGCTAGATGATGCAGGATCTCGTAGTCTAGAAGAAAGAGTTTAGAAGTTTCCATGTTATTCTCCTTGCTATTTATCAAAGAAGCTTCAGCAGGGTACTGATGTAATCTGATTTATGTTTTGGGAAGATACACTATATGAACAATGAATGATAGTCATGCTGGGGATGAAGGAGAAGAGAGAACAGTTATGTGGCTGTTTCAGTTATCCAAGAAAACAGATGTTGGCAGTAGGAAAAATGAGAAGTGGTCAAAATTCTGGATATAATTTAGAGGTAGTTCCCAAAGGATTTATTGGTGAATTGAATGATGGAGTAAAAGGAGAATGAGAAATTACAGATAATTCTTAGGGGTTGGGTCTGAGCAACAGGTAAATGATGTTATTTGCTGAGATGGGGAAGGTAAGATAGAGAGCAGATTGGGGGTTGCAGGGGATTCTCAGAAGGGAGTGGAGGATAGAAATCATAGATCTGTTTTGATATTTAGTTTGAGATGTCCATTCAACATCATAGTGGAGATCTCAAGTAAGGGGTGGATATGTGAATCTTGAACATGGGGAACAGATATAAATGCTAGGGCCAACAGAAGCCAAATGAGATTAATGCCATGGGTTAGGAAGGGATGTGTAGACGTAGGAGGATGAGGACTAAGGCACTCTGAGCTCTGTGCCCTTTGGCTTCATTATTTCATGCAAACTCTTACTATGCTTCTATTTTAGATGAAAAACAGAGACCTCAGAAAAAGAGGTAGCTTGACCTACAGTTTATAATTGGGCAGAGTAAGGATCTGAGCTTTTATGTTCAAAAATGCAGAAGGCTATGGTCTTAGCCGCTATTGCACAGTAGGAAGTATCATGAATGTGATATCTAAGTACTAAATTTAAGATCTTTTTTAAATCACAAAATAAATATATTAAATGTATTAATATACTTAAAAATATAATTGGAAAAATGTACTAATGGTCTAAGCAGTGTATAAAGCATATTTTAATGTATTTTCACTTGATCCTTGATAAGTCTAAGCAGGAATAAGAATTATGTCATTTGGATCTCTAAGGATTTATCTTAAGAATTTGATAAACATCAAATCCATGATTGCCGTTATCTTAAAATAACTTACTCAATTAGTTTTAAGTGTGTGCAGAGGGGCAGGGTACAGAAATGGGATCACTCTGCATGAATGATGCATAGCTTTTGGCTTGCTAACAAGAGCTATAAAGTAGGAATGGAGGGTGTCAGCATGCACACACACCATCACACAGCTGCTGCTTGCAAATTGGAAAGAAAAATATTACCAGGCGAGCATTAGCAAAGCTAAACCAGAATTTCAACATTGCCAAAACCCCAAAGAATCATCAGAGAGGAAAGGAAGAAATGAACCAAGAATGAAATATTTGAATATTTGAATGCAGCATTGTGTGCAAAGGACTGAATTCTTTAAAAGATTTATTTAAAATACCTACAAATCAGAAACAAAATATTTTTATGAAATGCTCAGTTTAACCATGAAAGGTGTCTCTTTGCCTCAGACAAAATTCAAATTCTGTACATGTTCTATTATCACATAGTTTTTTTTCTGGCCAAAATTGTTCATAAAAGCAGGGATAGGTAGATTTCTACAGTAACCACATTTTATTATTTAATATATTCAGAATATTCCCCTAAGGCGAGGTCAGGAGAGAGGAATATTTTCTGTCATTTGTGCATTTATTCCAAACAGACATCCTGAGTTCCAGTCCCCATTCTTTGTGACCAGCTGTGTAGACTTGGATAAGATCATTAACCAATCATCAGTTTCCCCATGTGAAAGGGGATAATAGTAACACCCATCTCATTGGCTTGTTATGAGGATGAAGGTAAATAATTCCAGTGATTTGCTTTGCACTATGACTAGCACATAGTGACCACTCAAAACATGATGGCTATTGTTATTAGCCAGGGATCCTGCCCTCAAAGATAGAAGATCAAGTAGGAAAAGATAGTAAAATTCACATCCAATGCAAAGTAAAATAAGGTAAAAGCATAAACAATGAGGAAATTCAGAAAAGGAAGCAATCTCATTTACAATGGCAGATAGAAGAGGACGTAATGAAGAATGGTGCAAAGAGAATGGAGAAGACCACAAAAAACAGAGTGGAAAGAACATGTTCATCCTTGTCTGCCCATTGTAGTTGGACAGGGGTGGTGATTTGACTCAGCCATTGAGACCAAACCACTCCTAGAAGTTGGAACTCTAGTGTTCTCAGCATTCAAAATCCTGCAGCAGGACTAGAATGGAGGAGAGAAAGTAATTCACTTACGGTTTAATCTGAGAAAGCTTTTGGAAAGTTTGCTAGTTGGTATTATACTAGTATTCAATAAAATCATAGTATTTGTTTCTCAAGAAAGGGAGTAGGATTTCCTTCCCGGTTCTGTAAAATTATTCCCTTTTGGAGCACTGTTTCCAATGATCACTTTTGAAAATGACTTCAGGTATTTATGAACTATCCTAGTTAATGCTATATCTTTAATCTTTGAGAGAAGATTGATTTTTTTCTTAACTGAAATCCTTCTGAACCAAATATTGATCATATCAACCACTATGATATTTTTGGTTAATAACTAAGTGTTTCTCTAATAAAATATAATCTTCTTATTCATTTTTTTTTTTTTACAACTTGTACATTATCTCTCAAGTCATTATGTTCGTTTGGACCGTGCATATTTTAGTATGCTAATTAACTCACCTAATGCCATTACTTTATCATCTTATTTTTTATATATGCCTATGGTGAGAAATTGATAGACATGACATAATTATCAGAGAATGAATATATGTAGAATGATACATCTCACGATTGTTACATGGGACTTCTTTGTGATTCAGAAAATTTTTGCCCAAACCATGAAAGATCCCCTACTTGCTACAAAGAGATAATGACCAGATTTTATCACCACCAATTTGACCCAGCATCTGCATCTTCTATGTACCTTCTCATTGTTCCTGTTCTGTCCATCTTCAGCTGGCTCGTTATAGACTATAGGACAGCTATAGTCCATAAGTCCCCTGACAGCTCCCCACAACTCACCAACACATTTGTCTCTGTTCCAATCATCAGTTTCCAGTCTTGATGTGTTAATGTGGTAATGTATGTGACATACTGATTTTAGAATTAAAGATTTTAATATAAGAAAAGATGTAACACCACAATCACATTCAATTCCTTCAACAACCAACAAATCCATTACCATATTTTAAAGCAACAGAAGGTTAAAATTAGAACAAGTTGAGTAAATCCTAAAGCAAGCAAGAATACTTTTGTCTGGGCCAAATTGATGAATGTTTTGTTCACATCTTTTAATCTAGCTTAGTGAGTCTCAGATTTATAGAGTATGAGAATCACTGTATATTATGGGTGATTTAAGGGATTTCCTAGGGTGATTTGAAATAGATTTTATTTTGGTCTCATCTCTGATTTTAGAACTAATGTTCCCCCACTTATCCTTCCCCCCAACTCTGCCCCTACATGCAAGGTTTATCTCCACCTTGACCTCAAGTCTTTATAATGGTATGCCTTAGAAGTGGGCCACATTCCTGAATCCTTCCCCCAAAGCTCTCCTTCCATCTACCACACTGTGGAACTGGTAACTTCTCATGCTAGTAAAGTAACAACCCTCCTTGTCTCCTTTCCTTTCCTTTCCCTGTTCATCGCCTCCGACCTGGTCTGGGCCTCCGTTAAGTAGCCAGAGCCCTGCATTAATTTGCCTGTCAGTCTTTTTTCCCTGGGCCTGTATCTGTGACCTCACCATCTGAGAGCTTCTCATGTGACTCCCGATAAGGAAATACCACCTCAACTCTTTGCCATGATCCACCTCTAGTAATTTTCTGAACCAAGATGGTCTTGCCTACCCTTTCATTATTGTTAACACCAACAGATGTAGCACTGGAGCCAGTTTTGTCTGCTGAGTTTCAATGGCCCTACTGCTTTTGTCTTAACTGAGAATCCGATTTCCTACCTCCATCTCACTGGCTTTTTGAAAGGAAAAAAAAATGTGTATTACCCAATCCGTGGATTAAATATAGTTAAGTTCTGAGTAATGAAAACTTCTTTGAGTGGTGCAGTAAAGAAGATGCTGATTTTGGGTTCTAATGTAGACTTCAGATTATGACTTCACCACTGATTAGATTTGTCATTGTGGCAAGTAACCTAACTTCTTTCCACCTTGATGTCCTCATCTGTCAAGGGGTTATTGTGATGGTTAAGTATGATCATGCATGCAAGGTGCCTAGCAGCGCTTAGGGTTGCATGGTTTTATTTTCCAGTGTCAATAAATCTTAGGTCCCCTTCCCTCATTTCAGGATATGAAAAAAGAGGGGAAGTGATGCCACTTTCTTCTTGGGATCAGAATTCTCTTACTAAGTATGGATTTCAAATTGGAGTAGAATATGAACCTTTTTAGATCTCAGTTAGATTCCAATTAGGATAATTCAAATTTTCTTTTTGGTTTCTAGAAGTATTTTCTCCAACAGTATATTCATCCCATCTTCTGACTAGAAAAGAGAATAGAAGCGTAGTAACCACAAACAAGAAAGGCTTAGGCAAATATAATTAATAGGGTAGCAGAGAGCCAATGAGTTGGCTGAGAAAAAGGCAAACATATAAAGTTCATTTTCAAATTAACTATTATTTTCATACAAAAAGAGGTGAGAAGAAGTGTAATTCACAGGTAATTTAAAAAATAAAAGATTTTTAAGACACACCAGAAGTGGCAGTATGACTTTTATAGACTTTTTATTTGTCTTTCTTTTAGGAGATTTCTTTCTTTTAGGAGATTTTATTTCTTTGTGCTTCAGTAACTCAGCAACTTATGTCCTGACTGCTTATATATTATGCATGGAATTGATGGTATAGGTTTACATATTAAGTAATATTCCATAAGTAGGGAGAAAGGTTAAAAAGCCTATTGTGCACTGAAACTTGTTTTTAAAGTTGCAAATTAAATTATTAGTTTATCCTTATTCTTGTGAAGTCAGTAACAAACATAATGAGAAAAGTACATAAATAGACATATAGCAAGTTGCCATTAGTCACACACAGTAACACAACAGAGCTGGAATCAAAACACGCGTTTCTTAACGAAGGCAATGTAGGCAGCTGCCTACAGGGTGTAATTTACTGATGAGATTTTTCTTCCTCAAAATATCTCTACTAAAATTTTATCACTTCTTTTGCTTAACAAATTAATCTTGAAAAATGTAAATATTCTGGAAGGGTTATGACAGCAAGCAAGCTAACACGCTTTAGAAAGGCAGAATCATAGAGTACCTGAGAGTTGGGAGGGTTCTTTTACAGCATTTTCAGTTCCTTACCCAATTTTTACAGCCCCTCTTTCTTATCTCAGAGAGGTCATCTTTCAGGTAAAATGCTCTCAGCAGGTGCCCTTCATTGGAGAGCAGACCATTTCACTGGTGACCATCTCCTATGGTGGGAAGACTCTTCCCTACCCTGAGGCACGGTGACGAAGTGCGAAATGCCGGTCCTTCAGCGTTGGAGAGACATGACTATTTATCTTGGTTCTATCCCATTCTGGCACGTAAACTTGAGCATGTATGGCAAATTTTTAAGGCTTCAAATCATTCTTCTACAAAAGGAAGATGAAATGCCTACCTCATGAAACTGTTGGGGCTGGTTGATTGAAATAATGTACACCATTGTCTAGTAAGACAATTGGTAAGGAGTCAAAACCAACATGCTTGTTTCTTCTCTCTTCATTTATCCAATGTGTCCCTCATAGTAACTTTTACTAATTAGTTTCCTTTCTGTCTTTGGAGCCACAAAGAATAGGTTTCTTCCTCTCTTTCTCTCACCTCTTTTTCTTCTGTTCTTTCCTTCTTTAAAATTTTTTTCCTTACTTGTATTTAATAAAGATATTGCTAATCTTTTTATTTGATCTACCAGTACCATAACGATAATAAAAAATAACACGGTAATTTTGACATAACTTGTTTTTGCTGAACCAATATTAATGCCCCGATGACCAACATATTCTTAATACCCACAATTCATCTGAAGATCATGGGTGATTTATATCAGAATTTTGCCTGATGTTAAAATGAGTTATTTTTTAGAAAATTTCCTTTCCTCTTTTACAAAATAGGGAGAGAACTTGCTTATATTTTTCCATTCATTTCATTATTCCATTTGACATAATATTTCCAGCAAATATGGTTTGAAATGTAATTAGCCTATTGCTATAAATTCATCTAAAATATCCAGATAGTTTTGCCTTTTATTGCTCTTTTCTTTATTCTATTTTATTACTTTATTGTTTCCAATGGGAAGATTTTTTCTCTTAGGTAGAGAAAAGTACAATTGTTTTGTCATCTTTTTATCATCTACTAGCAGTAGACTATCTGTTCAAAACAGAGGTTTCTCCTTTTTAATTAATTTTATTGAAAACATAGTTATAATAAAGCTCTTTTAGCTTCTGCCATTATTTTCAAGTCTTAGTTCATTCCAGATTTTAACATTGCTGAGAGTGAACTCAGAGTATCACAACACTCCTGTGTATTCATTCTTGGATATGGACTTCCCTTTTCCTCTTTTGTACCTGCATTTAAACCTAATCCACATAAGCGAATGTCCTCTGTGCTACTTTGGCTTTCTCAGATACCACATCCATTTTTCCTTATTTGCATTTGTGTACTCAATAGTTAATAAGAAAAATTACATTTAAATTCTCTCTTTAGAATTACAGCATCTTTCTGTGATCTAAACATGGGATGGTGTCTTTCTCTGACAGGCACCAAATTGTATAAATTAAGTTCTAGGTATATTATACATCTGTATGGTCATTTTGTTTAAGTCTACTTCTCAAACTGGACTCTAATTCCATGAGGGCAGAAAACAAGACTCTTTTTCTTACCATAGTTTTCTCAGCAATCACACAGGGTCTATCATACAAAAGATATTCAGTGAGAACTCATTGAATGCACTTGTAGCTTTGAGTGTTTGCTTGCTCTGAGCTCGGGTGTTTGAGTCATCTGCACACTGACAAAGGCCTGACAGTACTACACAGTAGATGGTTTATTTGGTGTGAATCAGAGAAAGGTTCAACAAACTGGCACCATAATTGTTTTCTTTCCCTTATTCTTCTCCTGCTAAATCTCTGTTTTCTTAAACCTCTACTCTCAGGACAAGGTCAAACTACGCCTCTGTTTTACTTACATATTTATTTTCTCAAACCACGAATCATGTATTTCCAACCAAGCCCAAAGCAACAAAATACAAAGCACATTCTCAGCTCATGTTGGACCAAAGGGTTTCAGCCAAGGTCCGGTAATATAGTCCACCAATCTCTGGGAATTTTTCAAAGATGCAAATGTCACTGACACACAACAATGCATCTGCAGCAGGCTGGACAGAGGAGAATAGGTGGCGTTACCATGACTGATTGACTTGGATGGACCACATAAGGTTCTCTTGTTATTTTTTCCAGGTTATTTTGAACCAGGAATAGTTTTAAAATGAATGAGGCACAAGTGAAGAAAAATACTGCTGAAAATAATTTTAAAGTTATTTCAATAGATTTCAAATAACTTTACTCATGTAGAAGAAATTGACATTTAATGCAGAAGAATTGGAGATGAAGTAAAGATTAAACTGTTAACTTTTGAACTACATATATTGTATTTGGGGTGTAGTTTGAACTTAAGATTATATTCAAGGATCATCAAAAATGGTGAGATGAGCTTCCCATCATAAACATTATATTGAGTAAAAACCCCCAAAATTACACAGTCGAGTTCCAATAAAAAAATATCCTATGACCCAGGGGTAACAGGAAACTGATGACTCCAAGGCCAGGGTCAAGAGGTTCTCAGCTGTGTTGAAGGCCCAGAGGCCAACTCAGGGACTGGTTTGGGCTCCGTTAGTCCATGAAGGCCACTCTCCATGGTATACTCTACTTATCCCTAAATCTTCAGTAAGATGTCTTCAAAAGCCACACATTGACCTTTGCTCTGCTACAGAGAATAGGGAAAACAAAGCCTCCTCCCTGAGGCAAGGGCAGAACTATGGGGCTGTCTCCAGCAGAGGACAGTGTAGCACTGGGGTCAGCTGAACTATGACCACCTTAGTAGACTGAAAACCAGATGCAGCCACAGAGAAGAGAAACTCACAGGCGACCATGGGTAGAGTGCAAGGTACATAGAAAGCAGGGTATATTCTCATAATTTTGCCATGTAGAGTTCATGCCATATTAGTAAAGGATGGAAGAAAGTAATTTCTTTATTTTGAAGTCACAAACAAGTGAGACTTTTAACATGGGAGTTGTATAACCCACAATCGTAGACTAGAAAGAACCTCAGCATCCTTCTGTTTTATAGAGAGTGAACCTAAGTACCACAAAGCTTCCTGTATGTGATCCAAAAGCAAATGCCATGACCCAGTGGTATGGTATGGCTTATCCCCACCCAAATCTCTCATCTTGAATTGTGGCTCACATAATTCCCACATGTGTGTGAGGGACCCCGTGGGAGATCATTGAATCATCCGGGTGGTTTCCTGCACAATATTCTCATGGTAGTAAGTCTCACGGTATCTGATGATTTTATAAGGGGAAACCCCTTTCGCTTAGTTCTCATTCTCTCTTGCCCAGTGCCATGTAAGAAGTCCCTTTGCTCTTCCTTCATCTTCCACCATGATTGTGAGGCCTCCCCAGCATGTGGAACTGTGAGTCAATTAAACCTCTTTCCTTTCTAAATTACCCAGTCTCAGGTATGTCTTTATTAGCAGCATGAGAACAGACTAATACACCCGGGATTCTAGCTTCATGTCCAAAGTCATTTCTCCACACTGTGGCTTCTTTGAAACTAAATGTTTGATTGCAGGGATTCTGTGGGGATTCAGCATGGCACGTGAAGACACAGGGGGGCTCTGGAGCCAGCTAGTCTTCACTTAAATCCAGGACCTGCCCCTTGCCAAAAGTGAGCCTGTGCCTCACTTTCCTCATCTGTAAAAAAGGGATAATCAATAATACCAAAGTCATATGGATATTGAAAAGGTTAAATGAGCTGATACATGTACAGCACTTAGATATCAATATAATTATGTGTTCAGAAAATTCTAAATATTATCACGAGTCACGATTTGGTTCCACCACACCTTTCCTACCTCACTTTCCACTGTTTTCTCCCCCTACCACTCAGTGTTTTGCCATGTTGACCTTCTTGTCATTTCCAGAAAACCTAGCTTTTTCATGCTCACATGTCTTAATGCATGCTATTTTCTCTGCTGGAAATGACTTTCTGCTTCCTTGTGCATATCTCATTCCTGAGGTAAAGTCCATCTTGGTCCATCTTTACTTCATAGCCTTCCTCTAACCCTGCCTCCCATCCCCAATATCACAGTTAGGTGCTCTGCTCTACCTGTTCCTAGCCGCACCTCATAAACTCTCCATCAAGCAGATCAGATGGAGATTTTGATGTTGTGTCTTTAGTCCAAATGACTGTGATCTCCTTGAGGGTGTGAACTATGTTTTAATCATTCTTGAAGAATTAGTATCTTGTTCTTCATTGTTTCCCAATAAATGCTTATTTCAAAATGATAAATCAAGGCTGCCCAGGACACCCTTTCTAAATTGGTAACATTGACTGCACACCTAAACACATGCACACACACACACACACACACACACACACACACATGTGCACTGCCCCCTCCTTGCCTGAATTTTCTGCTCAGCATTTAACATATTATTATTTATTCATCTTGGTTATTACAGTAACATATGTTCAAACTTAGAACTCTAATGGCAAGCAACACTTAGTAAATTTTTCTCGTTGTTATTAATATCATTAGTTGCTCTGTCATTGCGAATGATGATAGTATTTGTATTCACTGTCCTTGTTATTGTTATTACTAATACTATTATCATAATTATTATCACTGTGCTCTTGTTATTCTATATGGTCAAAAGAGAGCAGATCATTCCTTGCTTTATGAAGTCCTGTTCTATGGAAGTACAATTGGTATATTTTGTTTGTAAATATAGTTAACCTATTACTTTTTTACATATAGATTTCTTACTTTCAAGGGTATAATTTGGAAGAATGCAAGACTAGGATCCAGATAACCCAGATTTTGCTAGCTGTGTGACCTGGACCAATCTCCTTCACTTATCTTTAAAATAAGTGGTAGGGAAAATCCAGAGAAGCTTTTGTGTTGACTCCTCTGTCTTGCTCCGAAGGCAGCTGTTGCTGTTACTATTGAGGCTGGCTGCAGCTGCAGTGTCCTCGTCATACTCTTACAGAGCATCAAGTTTCCACTGGCCAGAGTTAGAATGCAAGCTGTAACCTACCAGTCGTCCTGGAATGACCCCCGATCCCTTCCTGTTTCATTGCATTCTACAGATGAACACAAAGACGTGTGTCCTTGTTCCCACTGTGCACACACGCTTCTCCTCACAAGTTCTCATTGGATTCTCCTAAAATATATTTTAGCTCAGTCCTCACCCTAAAGCTGCCTGTATAGAACTTACTAGTCAGTGTGCTGCAAGACTAAAGGGAAATTTCATATGTATCTCCACCTCTGGTATATTACTCACTAGAGGAAAACAAAGCTTTCTGTTCTTGTTTTTATAGACCCAGAGGCATATCAGCTCCCTCATGGGCCATCGTGTGGTCAAGACAGTTCTCCTTATGGAAAAGCAATACTTACGTTTCACCTTTCTCTACAAAGTCAGGAAAGATGTTGGTTTTTAAAAAAATCAAGCATATGTCATGTAGGTGAGAAGATGAGTGAGCTAATGCTTATGAAGTACTTTCCTTTGCTTTGGAAAAAAAATCAAAAGAACAACTCACTGAAACCCCTTCAACTGAGTAGACCTGTTCTGACCCACTCATCAGAGCTCAACCCCAGTATGGAGATTCTTGAAAGCTTATTAAACAACTCGCAATTTACCAGAGATTTGTCTCCATATTTGAAAATAGGGAATAGTGAGTTTTCTCTTTAGTTCTTATTTTTAGTTTTAAATGTGCATCCTTACAAGATTTCTTACTGTTTGGTGCAAATAACGAATGATAAGGGGAAATGGGAGGTATGGTATAGTCAGCCTGCAGACCAGGAACCCTAGCTGCCACCACCACAAACAAAACAATAAGCAAATATTTTACTTAACTTTCTTTCATGATAGAAGAACTGCTTACTTCATGAGTCCAGAAAAATACAGCAAGGAAATCTTCTCTTAAAGAAACTTTGGGTAGCTTTGTAAAAACCTCTTACTGAGTCATAAACTGTTTACTGAATTCAATGAATCCTCACTTTTCCCTCAAATTAAATTTAGTGGGTGCATCTGTTACAAAAAGTATTGATGACGCCTGACTGTGGAAATTATTTACAGAAAGCTTTTCATATCTCCTGGAGAGAGAGGCTGCCTCACAGAGAAACTATGTGAGTTAGTTACAGTTTACAGATGCTACAGGAGCACTAACTCATGGGTGTGATCATCATGGCTCTGGAGCTGGATGCTTGAAGCTCTGATGAGAAAAGTCCCCAAGGGGAGTTGTGGTCCCAGAGGAAATCCAATCTAAGATTGTCCTGTGCTACTTAATCCAGCTGTCACATGTAACTTCCTGGGTCCCCCTTCTACCATATTCTTCTTTCCAATGTAAATAATTACAAACACAATTACTGGACTGTCAAAAGGCAGTACTGTGATATTTATATAGAAGAGTCAAAAATTCCTGGAGGAAAAACTATCATCACACACACACACACACACACACACACACACAAACACACACACACACAGCTCTATGCCTTATAATGACATTTTGGTCAATGATAGACTGTATAGCTGATGGAAGTCCCATAACATTGTAATGTAGCTGAAAAATTCCTTTTACCTAGTGAGGTCAAAGCCATTGTAATGTGATAGAGCAACATATTACTCACATGTTTGAGGTGATATCGGTATAAACAAACCTACTGCGCTGCCAGTCCAATAAAAGTATCGCACATACAATTATGTAGAATACATAATATTTGATAATGACAATAAACAGCTGTGTTACTGGTTAATGTAATATATATATATATATATATATATATATATATATATATATATATATATATATATATACAAGCTTTTATCATTTTTTATAGTGTACTCCTTCTACTTATAAAGAAAAGTTAACTAAGTTTACCCATCCAGTGGTTTGCAGAAAAAGGAGAAGGAACACAGATGGATAACGAGCAATAAAGGGCAACATGCTTGCAAATAGAGAACAAAGGCCTCTGAGTGCACAAGGAAGGATAGAGCCTTCTTTCATCTGATAAAAAGAAAGAGGGAAGTTTAATAAAAGAGGTCACACTTGAGCTGGACCTTGGATAAAGACTGGAATTTGATGGTGGAAATGCGATAAAGTTTCTTTTTGCAGTGAACAGCAAGGATAAAGGTATGGAGACAGAAAACCTATACATTGCAAACCTGTTTGGGTGAAATATAAGAATACTGGGAAACAAGATAGAATCATTGTTTTTAAAACTACCCTCGTGGTTCCTTCCTGTAAGATGGGGATGAAGATAATTGTGCCTATTTCATGAGGCTGTTATGAGGATCAGATGAGTTGATTCATGTAAATGGTTTGATTTCGAACACACAGAAAGCACTCAACAAATGAAAAAAACATGAGGCTAGAAAGCCCTCCACTGCTACTGATTGTTAATTTTTGTAAATCTTCCACAGAACTTGAAAGAAAGTACTTTCTCTGTTTATATGAAATTATAGTCAATTTACATCAATTAGATAACTCTTACTGTGTTATTTTGTTCAGCTCTGTGTTTACTTAGTTGATCAATTGTGGTTTAGAACAGGAGTTGGCAGACTATAAACAGTAGGGGAACACACCTGAAGCCTGTTTTTGTAAAGGTTTATTGGTAGCCAGATATAAATGTTTGTTTATATAATATCTCTGATAGAGTTGCATGTCTGTGACAGAAACTGTATGGACATCAAAGTCTAAAACCTTCACTATCTGGCCTTTTATGGAAAAGTTTCCTGACCCTTGGTCTAGAGAGAAACAAAATTAAGTTTCTTGCTACTATTTATTTCAATCAATTTGTTTTTGTACTTACAGCAATTTTTAGTACTTGTATTTTGGTTCTATATTATCTCATGCTCAAAAATTCATTGTGGCATTCACTTTCCATCATTTTTAAATGACAGTATTTATCCAAGTTATTTATATTTTGCAATAATATTTAACCTTGCCTGATGCCTGTATTGTCAACTGTTGATTTCTTTGTTTGCATCTCTCAAGATATATCTTCACTTGTACTTTTAGAGCCAACTTGTTATGATTGCATCTTTTTCTACATACTTTTTAAAATTTAATGTGATATAAGGTGAATTTATATCCCATTTAACTATAAATACTCTTCTTAATCTTAAGCCCTTCATTTTATTTTATGTTTTTCTTTGTAACTATCTTTTCCTCTATAAGATGTGTGTGCGTGTGTGTCTGTGTGTGACAGAGAGAGAGAGAATGCTAGGCTACAGCTACAGACTGCAGAAACCACTCTAGATAGTTCAAATAGAAGGGGATTTACTACCAGCTAGGTCAATGGTTTGTGAAATTGTTGGTAGGGTTGGAAGAGCAGGATTTGGGCAGAGTTCTTTGCTCCTAGGATTGCACTCATCTGTGATTGTGATTGAGAAACCTGTGATGATTTCTGCAGAGAAATACTGAAACACAAAGATATGACCATGGCACTCACTTTGTCACAGTCTGGAAAACTGCCATTCCCACTGTGGCCAGTGGTTTTTCCTGGGCCACATTACTTCCACTGTGATCTCCATCTGAAAATGGATGCCTCATACTCCACCTCCTTCTTACTCACTTCCACATTTCTCAGTGAATGCATACGTTTAGTAGATCCTAAAACACACCTGAAGCCCTCGTACATGGAAGTCTGGGAAATGAAGATTTTAGCTGTTTTTTTCTCTGCAATCTAGGGAGGCATTTAAAAATAAACATTGAGCAAATCAATCCACCATATCCATCATCTTGTGTTCTTCCCTATTTTACATAACATGCATGGCTTTGAATAATTATCTCATTTTAAATAGTACACATAAATATCTATTTCTTGACTTATAAATATTAATTGGAATCTATTATCCCTCAAGTATGAAATATAAAGTATCTAACTCACTCTGTTTTCTCCAAAATAGAAAAAAATGAGGCAATGAGCTCACTTCCATTTTCCTGTTTCCCCCATTTTTCTCATAATTTATATTAATCATATTACTATTTTTGAATGATCAAGGTTTATGACACTTAAATTCTATCCTATAACTGTAATTCACCCGGTGATTGGTATGAGTCATACACTTTTACAGATTTAATTATACCGACGGTCTTTCCATACTATGGCTTTTCCACCTCTGACTTTAATTGCAGATATCCATGTTTGGCTGTATTTAATTAACAAATACGCCTACCTTGTGGCATATTTGTAAAAATTTAAAATAATGTATTAAATGTCTCAGGTATGATAGCTGCTCAATAAAAGGCCATTTTATATGGCCTTACTCTTATTAATAAAGAAAAATAAAATGACAAAATTGAGAATGTAAATAAGATAAAGATAGAATAGTATTCATAGCACATGGTAAATAATGAATAGATTTTGTACTTAATTTTCTTTGAGCATCAATAATGTTAGATTTGAGGAGGAGGCTGAGCAAGATGGTAGAATAGAAGGCTGCACTGATCATTCCCTCTTGCAAGGGCAGCAATTTAACACCTACATACAAAAAGCGCCTTCAAAAGACCTCAAAATCAGGTAAGCACTCACAGTATCTGGTTTTTAACTTCATATCACTGAGAGAGACACTGAAGAGGTAGAAAAAACAGTCTCGAATCGCTGATGCCATCCCTCCCCCACCCATAGCAGCAGTGGCATGGTGCAGAGTATTTCTGTGGTCTCGGAGAGGGAGAGTGCAGCAAATGGGAGGCATTAAACTCAGTGCTGTTCTGTTATAACAGGAAGGAAAACCAGAACAAACTTAGCTGATGCCCACCCATGAAGGGAGCATTTAAACCAGCCCTAGCCAGAGTGGAATCACCAATCACAGAGGTGGGAACTTGACGTCCCACAAACCACACCATCACGGGCTAAAGTGCTCTGGGGCTGCCAATAAACTTGAAAGGCAGAGTAGGCCACAAGGACTGCAACTTTTAGGAGAGTCCTAGTGCTGAACTGGGCACAGAGACAGTAGACAGGGGTTGGGGGGAGGGCATGCTGAGACACCAGCCAGGACAGCCAAAAGAGTGCTGCCATCACCACTCCCATAACCGCAGGATGCACAGCTCACAACTGTAAAAGAGATGCCCCTGCTTTCTGCTTGAGGATAGAAGAGGGAAGAGTGGGGAGGACATTTGTCTTAAACATGGATAGTAGCTCAGCCACATCAGGATAGGACACTGGTCAGTATTAGGAGGCCCCCTTCCCAGCCCTAAATCTTGTATGACATTACTAGACACATCCCCCTGGGCCAGAAGGGAACCTACTGTCTTGAAGGGAAGGACCCAGTCCTGGCAGCATTCATCACCTGCTAACTGAAGGGCCCTTAGACCCTGAATAACCAGCAGTGATACCCAGGTACTATGTCGAAGGCCTTGGGTGAGACCTGACATTTACTGGCTTCAGAGGAGGCTCAGCAATTCCTGCTGGGGTGGCTGCAGGAAGAGACTCCTTCTGCTTGAGAAAAACAGAAGGAAGAGTTAGAGACTTTGTCTTGCACCTTAGGTACCAGCTCAGCCACAGGGAGTAAAATACCAAGCAAGCTCTTTGGGTCCCAAATTCTAGGACTTGGCCCTTGGATGGCATTTCTGGACCTGCTCTGGGCAGAGGGGAGCCCACTGCCCTAAAGGGTGGGTTCCAGGCCAAGCAGCATTCACCACAAGCTGACGAAACAACCCTCATGCTTTAACGGAAAATTGGCAGTAGTCTGGCAGTACCGTCCATGGGCCTGTGGTGGTGATGGCCACAAGGTGAGGCTCCTCTGCCTTTGGAAAGAGGAGGGAAGAGAGGGAAGGATTGTGTCTTCTGGTTTGAGCGCCAGCTCAGCCACAGTACAATAGCATACCAGGTATACTTCTAAGGTTTCTGACTCTAGTCTCTGGCTCCTGGACAGCATCTCTGGACCTGCCCAGGGCTTGGGGAACTTGCCACTCTGAAGGAAAGAATACAGGCCTGGCTGGCTTTGCTACTTAGTGAGTATAGAGCCCCAGGGCCTTAAGTGAAAATAGGTAATGGCCAGGGAGTGGTTACAGCAGGCCTTGGATAAGATCCAGGGCTTTGCTTACTTCAGGTCTGACCCAGCACAGACATAGAAGTGGTGACCACAGGAGTGCTTATGTCACTTAATTCTCAGCTTCTGATGGCTCAGGACAGAGAGAGACCCCATTTGTTTGGGACAAAGTAAGGAAAGAGAACAAGGGTCTCTGCCTGGTAATCCAGCGAGAAGAGAAAGAGATAGGGGTGGAAAGTTTATTAAAATGGATAATAACAGAACTTCCCAAATCTGTAGGAAGATATCAATATCCAAGTACAAGAAGGTTATAGAATACCAAGCAGATTTAACCCAAAGAAGACTACCTTAAGGCATTTAATAATCAAACTCCAAAGGTCAGGGATAAAGAAACAATCCTAAAAGCAGCAAGAGAAAAGAAACAAAAAACATACAGTGGAGCTTCAGTACATCTGGCAGCACACTTCTCAGTGGAAAACTTACTGGCCAGGACAGAGTGGCATGATATATCAAAAGTACTGAAGGAAAAAAAAAAACAAAAAAAAAACAAAAAACCATTTACCCTAGAATAGCATACCTGGCCAAAATATCCTTCAAACATGAAGGAAAAATAAAGACTTTCCTAGACAAATAAAAGCTGAGGGATTTCATCAACACCAGACCTGATATACAAGAAATGCTAAAGGGAGTACTTCAATCAGAAAGAAAAGGATGTTTATGAGCAATAAGTAATCGCCTGCAGCTGCAAAATAAGCCTGCACTCACTGATAATAGTAAGTATACAGAAAAAGAGAATATTGTAACACTGTAAGGGTAGTGTGAAAACTACTCTTATTCCAAGAAGAAAGACTAAACAATGAACCAATCAAAAATAATAATTACAATAAATTTTTGAGATATAGACAGCACAGTACAACATAAATAGAAACAACAAAACGTTTAAAAGTCAGGTGAGGAAGTTAGGGCTTACAGTTTTTGTTTTCTTTTTGCTTGTGTTTATACAGTGTTAAGTTGTTAACAGCTTAAAATAATGGTATTTGCAAGCCTCATGGTAACCTCAAACCAAAAAACATGTAACAGGTACATTAAAAATAAAAAATGAGAAACATTCACATCACCAGTCAAAATCACCTTCACTAAAAGGAAGACAGCAAGGAAAGAAAGAAGAGAAGACCATAAAACAACCAGAAAACAAAGAAGAAAATGACAGGAGTAAGTCTTTACTTATTAACAACAACAATGAATGTAAATAGGCTAACCTCTCCAATCAAAAGCCACAGAATGGCTGAATGGATTAAAAAACAAGACTCAGTGATCTGTTGTGTGCAAGAAACACACTTTACCTATAAAGACACACATAGACTGAATATAAAAGTATGGAAAAAGATATTCCATGCCAATGGAATACCAAAAAAAGAGCAGGAGTAGCTATGCTTATATCAGACAAAATATATTTCAAGACAAAAACCATAAGAAGAGACAGAGGTCACTACATAATGATAAAAGGGTCAATTCAGTAAGATAAGAATTTTAAATATATATGCACCCAACACTGGAGCACCCAGATATACATAAAGCAAATATTATTAGAGCTAAAGAGAGAGGTCCCAATAAAATAACTGGAGACTTCAACACCCCACGTTTAGCATTGAACAGATCATCTAGACAGAAAATCAAGAAGGAAACATTGGACTTTATCTGCACTATAGACCAAATGGAAATAATAGCTACTTAAAGAACATTCCATCCAGTGGCTACAGAATGCACTTTCTTTACTGCAGCACCTGGATCATTCTCAAGGATAGACCATATGCTAGGTCACAAAATAAGTCTAAGACATTCCAAAAAATTGAAATAATACCTTCTCTGATCACAGTGGAGTAAAACTAGAGAGCAATAACAAGGAATTTTGGAAGCTATACAAATACATGGGAATTAAACAATATGCTTCTGAATAACCAGTGTGTCAATGAAGAAAGTAAGAAGGAAATTGAAACATTTCTTGAAACCAATGATAATGGAAACATAGCACACCAAAACCTAAGGGATACAGCAAAAGCAGTACTAAGAGGGAATTTTATAACTATGAAAACCTACATCAAAAAAGAAGAACTTCCAATAAATAATCTTACAATGTATTTTAAAGAACTACAAAAGCAAGAGCAACCCAAACAAAAAATTAGAAGAAAAGAAATAGTCAAGTTCAGAGCAGAAATAAATGAATTTGAAATGAAAAAGAAAAAAGCCAAAAGATCAATAAAAGTGTCTCTTCTTGGCCAGGCATAGGGGCTCACACCTGTAATCCCAGCACTTTGGGAGGCTAAGGTGGGCAGATCACAAGGTCGGGAGATTGAGACCATTCTGGCTAACAGGGCGAGACTCTGTCTCTACTAAAAATACAAAAATTAGCCAAGCATGGTGGCGTGTGCCTGTAATCCCAGCTACTCCAGAGGCTGAGGCAGGAGAGTCACTTGAACCCAGGAGGTGGAGGTGGTAGTGAGCCGAGATCCTGCCACTGTACTCCAGCCTGGCAACAGAGTGAGACTCTGTCTCCAAAAAAAAAAAAAAAAAAAAAAAAAAGTCTCTTCTTGTCCTTTGCCCACTTTTTAATGGGGTTACTTGGTTTATTTTCATGTGAATTTGTTTAAGGTCCTTATAGATGCTGGACATTAGACTTGTGTCAGATGCATAGTTTGCAAAATTTTTCTCCCATTCTGTAGGTTGTCTATCAATAGTTTATTTTGCTGTGCAGAAGCTCTTTAGTTAAATTAGATCCCATTTGTCAATTTTTGCTGTTGTTGCAATTGCTTTTGTTATCTTTGTCATAAAATCTTTGCCAGGTCCTATGTCTAGAATGGTATTGCCTAGATTGTCTTCTAGGGTTTTTTTTTTTCAGTTTGGGGTTGTACATTTAAGTCTTTAATCCATCTTGAGTTAATTTTTTTATATGGAGTAAGGAAGGGGTCCAGTTTCAATCTTCTGCATATGGCTAGCTAGTTATCCCAGCACCATATATTGAATAGGAAGTATATTCCCCATTGCTTGTTTTTGCGAGCTTTGTTGAAGATCAGATAGTTGTAGGTGTGTGGCCTTATTTCTGGGCTCTTAATTCTGTTCCACTGGTCTATGTGTCTGGTTTTGTATCGGTACCATGCTGTTTTGGTTACTGTAGTACAGTTTGAAGTCTGATAAAGTGATGCCTCCAACTTTCTTCTTTTTGTTTGGGATTTCCTTGGTTATTAGGGCTCTTTTTTGGTTCTGTATGAGTTTTAAAATAGTTTTTTCTACTTCTGTGAAGAACATCATTGGTAGTTTGATAGGAATAGAATTGAATCTACAAATTGCTTTGGGCAATATGGCCATTTTAACAATGTTGATTCTTCCTATGCATGAGCATGGAATGTTTTTTCATTTGTTTGTGTCCTCTCTGATTTCTTTGAGCAGTGTTTTGTATTTCTTATTGTAGAGATCTTTCACCTCCCTGGTTAGCTGTATTCCTAGGTATTTTTATTCTTTTTGTGGCAGTTGTGAACGGGATTGCATTCCTGATTTGGCTCTTGCCTTGACTGTTGTTGGTGTATAGGAATGCTAGTGATGTCTGTACATTTATTTTGTATCCTGAAACTTAGCTGAAGTTGTTTATCAGCTTAAGGAGCTCTGGGGCTGAGACTGTGTCGTTTTCTAGATATAGAATCATGTCATCTGCAAACAGGAATAGTTTGACTCCCTCTCTTCCTATGTGGATGCCTTTTATTTCTTTCTCTTGCTTGATTGCTCTGGCTAGGACTTCCAATACTATGCTGAATTGGCATGGTGAGAGAGGGCATCCTTGTCTTGTGCCAGTTTTCAAGGGGAATGCTTTCAACCTTTGCCCTTTCAGTATGATGTTGGCTATGGGTTTGTCATAGATGGCTCTTATTATTTTAAGGTATGCATGCAGCCAACAAGCATAGAAAAAAAAAAAACATTTCCATTGATGCTGAAAAGCTCTTAATAAAATTCAATATTCCTTTATATAAAAACTCAAAAAACTATATAGAAGGAACATACCTCAACATAATTAAAGCCATATATGAAAGACTCACAGCTGGTATTATACTCAATTGGAGAAAACTGAAAGCCTTTCCTTAAAGATCTGGAACATGACAAGGATGGCCACTTTCACCACTCTTATTCAACATAGGACTTGTGGTTCTACCTAGATCAATTAGACAAGAGAAAGAAATAAAGGGCATCCATGCTGGAAAGGGAGAAGTCAAATTATTCTTGTTTGCAGACGGTTTAATCTTATATTTAGAAAAACATAAAGACTCCACCAAAAAAAATCTATTAGAACTGATAAACAAATACAGTAAAGTTTAAGAATGTAAAATCAACATATAAAAA
This sequence comes from Homo sapiens, assembly GCF_000001405.40. NCBI lineage: Eukaryota > Metazoa > Chordata > Mammalia > Primates > Hominidae > Homo > Homo sapiens. Next base: position 76,236,387 of record NC_000013.11, read on the forward strand.
TTTGTAGCATTTCTATATGCCAACAGTAAAGTCTAAAACAGAAATTAAAAGGTAATCCCATTTACAATTAAAATTAAATACTGAGGAATTAACCAAGGAACTGAAATATCTCTATAATGAAAACTATAAAACATTGATGAAAGAAGTTGAAGAGGACAACAAAAAAAATGGAAAGATATTTCATGTTCATTGATTGGATGAATCAATATTGTTAAAATGTCTATACTGCCCAAAGTAATCTACAGATTCAATGGACTCCTTATCAAAATACCAATGACATTTTTCACAGAAATAGAAAAAAAAATCCTAAAATTTATATGGAACCACAAAAGACCCAAAATAGCTTAATATCTATCCTAAGCCAAAAGGACAAAATTGGTGGGATCACATTACCCAACTTCAGATTATATACTACAGAGCTCTAGTAGCCAAAACAGCATCGTACTGGCATAAAAACAGACACATAGACCAATGGAACAGAACTGAGAACCCAGAAAGGAATCCACACACCCACACACCTTTGTGAACTCATTTTCAACAAAGATGCCAAGAACATACACTGGGGGAAAAAAAAACAGTCTCAATAAATGGTGCTTGGAAAACTGGATATTCATATGCAGAAAAATGAAACTAGACCCCTATATGTTCCCATATACAAAAATCAAATCAAAATGTATTAAAGACTTTAAGACCTCACAATATGAAACTACTACAAGAAAACTTTGGGGAAAGTCTTCAGGACATTGGTCTGGGCAAAAATTTCTTGAGCAATACCCCACGAGCACAGGCCACCAAAACAAAAATGTGCAAATGTTGTCACATAAAGTTAAAAAGCTTTGCACAGCAAAGGAAACAATAAAGTGAAGAGACAACCTACAGAATGGGAGAAAATACTTGTAAACTACTTGTCTGACAAAGGATTAATAACTGGAATATATAAGGAGCTTAAATAACTCTATAGGAAAAAAATCCAATAATCCAATTTTTAAAATGGGCAAAATATTTGAATAGACATTTCTCAAAAGAAGACATACAAATGGCAAACAGGCATATGAAAATGTGCTCAACATTACTGATCATTGGAGAAATGCAAATCAAAACTATAATAAGATATCATCTGACTCCAGGTATAATGGCTTATATCCAAAAGAAAGGTGGGAACAAATGCTGGCAAGGATATGGAGAAAAGGGAACCCCCATCCACCGTTGATGGGAATGTAAATTAGTATAACCACTTCGGAGAACAGTTTTGAAGTTCCTCAGAAAACTAAAAACTGAGCTACCATATGATCTAGCAATCCCACTGCTGGTTGTATACCCAAAAGAAAGGAACTCAGTATATCAAAGAGAGTGATCTGCACTCCCATGTTTTTTGCAGCACTGTTCACAATAGCCAAGATTTGGAAGTAACCTATTTGTCCATCAACAGATGAGTGGATGAAGAAAGTGTGGTACATATATACCATGGAGTATTCTTCAGCCAGAAAAAATAATGAGATCCTGTCACTTGCAACAATATGGATGGAACTAGAGATCATTATGTTAAGTGAAATAAGCCAGGCACAGAATGACAAACATTGCATGTTCTCACTTATTTGTGGGATCTAAAAATCAAAACAATTGAATTCATGGAGATAGACAGTAGAATCATGGTTACCAGAGGATGGGAAGGGTAGTGTGTCTGGAGTTGGGGGGGCTTAGGGCAAGTTGGGGATTGTTAATAAGTACAAAAAATAGAAAGAATGAATAAGACCTAGTATTTGATGGCACAACAAGGTGACTATAGTCAATAATAACTTAATTGTACATTTTATAGTAACTGAAAGAGTATAACTGGATTGGTTGCCACGCAAAGAATGAGTGCTTGAGGGAATGGATACCCTATTTCCAATGATGTGGTTATTACGCATTGCCTGTCTGTGTCAAATCATCTCATATATGCAACAAATATATACACCTACTATGTACCCACAAAAATAAAAAAGAAAAAAGAATTTACAAACAATAAATAATGTTAGATTTGAGTATTTTCTATGATACTAAACTATATTATGACATTAAACCAGGTAAGATGTCTCAGGTTGTTTCCTGGCACAAGTTATCTAGGTTAAGGAGCCTCAGTTCAGCCATCTATAAATTGAAACAGCAGTGCTCAAAAGCCCTTCAGCTTCCTACAATTCTATATTGCATTTTCATGACTCTTGTTGGGTTACCTGTAACTATTTTTAGGATCTAAGTTTGCCTTCTTCCAGGTGCTCTGAATGTTCCTTGACATATTTTCTGTGCTGTCAGTTGATGTGTGTGACAGGGAATGTCAACTAATTGTAATATTAATCTAAAAAGGCTATTATTCAAAATCAATTTGTGATGTTTATCAAAATTAAGGAGCAATGATCCTTGTTTGTCTACAGTGTAGGCAGGGCATGTCATTGCAGGTCTTTTGCAATATGTAAAATAAGAAGCTGACATTATTTGTGTTCAAGTCCAAAGTAGCATTTTGGGAAATTCTGGAGCTATTTTAGATTTTTTTTTAAAATCAAATTTCATTGGACCTAGTGTGTGTGTGTGTGTGTGTGTGTGTGTGTGTGTGTGTGTGTGTGTAACTATTTGAGTACACTTTTTTCTTATGGCTTCCAATAGCCTCAAAGGCTCAAAAAAATGAGGAAGATTATAGAAATGAAAAATAAGAAATAAAGAAAAACCTCATGCATGACTATGGGTTATTTTATAATAATTGGTCAGTGATTGGAAGCTTCTGAAACCATGGTCTGGAACATTAAATTGCAAGCTCGTAACTGAATATCATAGTATCAATTTTCTGAAATTTGACCCAAGAAAATTTAGAACACTTATGAAATAACAGGGCAATGATTTCCCAAAACACTCATATTACTGAAATTGGAGATGATATGGGAACATAATAGTGAAAGCAAAATACTAAGATTTTGTGGGAAGATATTTTTGAGTCTTCAATGTGAAATTGAGAATTGATTAAGAGGTGACTTTGTGGTGGCCAATTAGGAAAAAGTTATTTGTGTCTACATGTTTCACTAAGTCTAGTGTCTGGAATTTGTGTTAGTTAAGTAACTATAAATAAAAATGAGCTGCCACTCAGGCAGTTCTGACTTTGGAATTCCATAAAAGATAGTGCTACAGGAATCCATTTGCAAAATTTAAAAAGGAATCCCATAATTCTTGCAGAATAGTGGGTTTCGTGAATTGTTTTAGCACAAAGACACCACCATTCACGATCATAGCAAACTACTCAGAAAAGTCGTGTCCCTGGGAAACAGTTAAAGCTTAAAGAGTGTTGGATTCTTTTTTTTTTTTATACTTTAAGTTTTAGGGTACATGTGCACAATGTGCAGGTCTCTTACATATGTATACATGTGCCATGTTGGTGTGCTGCACCCATTAACTCGTCATTTAACATTAGGTGTATCTCCTAATGCTATCCCTCCCCCCTTCCCCCACCCCACAACAGGCCCTGGTGTGTGATGTTCCCCTTCCTGTGTCCATGTGTTCTCATCGTTCAGTTCCCACCTATGAGTGAGAACCTGCGGTGTTTGGTTTTTTTGTCCTTGAGATAGTTTGCTGAAAATGATGGTTTCCAGCTTCATCCATGTCCCTACAAAGGACATGAACTCATCACTTTTATGGCTGCATAGTATTCCATGATGTATATGTGCCACATTTTCTTAATCCAGTCTATCATTGTTAGACATTTGGCTTGGTTCCAAGTCTTTGCTATTGTGAATAGTGCCGTGATAAACATACGTGTGCATGTGTCTTTATAGCAGCATGGTTTATAATCATTTGGGTATATACCCAGTAATGGGATGGCTGGGTCAAATGATATTTCTAGTTCTAGATCCCTAAGGAATTGCCACACTGACTTCCACAATGGTTGAACTAGTTTACAGTCCCACCAACAGTGTAAAAGTGTTCCTATTTCTCCACATGCTCTCCAGCACTTGTTGTCTCCTGACTTTTGAATGATCGCCATTCTAACTGGTGTGAGATGGTATCTCATTGTGGTTTTGATTTGCATTTCTCTGATGGCCAGTGATGATGAGAATTTTTTCATGTGTCTTTTGGCTGCATAAATATCTTCTTTTGAGAAGTGTCTTTTCATATCCTTCTCCCACTTTTTGGTGAGGTTGTTTGTTTTTTTCTTGTAAATGTATTTGAGTTCATTGTAGATTCTGGATATTAGCCCTCTGTCAGATGAGTAGATTGCAACAATTTTCTCCCATTCTGTAGGTTGCCTGGTCACTCTATGGTAGTTTCTTTTGCTGTGCAGAAGCTCTTCAGTTTAATTAGATCCCATTTGTCAATTTTGGCTTTTGTTGCCATTGCTTTTGGTGTTTTAGACTTGAAGTCCTTGCCCATGACTATGTCCTGAATGGTATTGCCTAGGTTTTCTTCTAGGGTTTTTATGGTTTCAGGTCTAACATTTAAGTCTTTAATCCATCTTGAATTAATTTTTGTATAAGGTGTAAGGAAAGGATCCAGTTTCAGCTTTGTGCATGTGGTTAGCCAGTTTTCCCAGCACCATTTATTAAATAGGGAATCCTTTCCCCACCTCTTGTTTTTGTCAGGTTTTTCAAAGATCAGATGGTTGTAGATATGCGGCATTATTTCTGACAGCTCTGTTCTGTTCCATTGGTCTATATCTCTGTTTTGGCACCAGTACCATGCTGTTTTGGTTACTGTAGCCTTGTAGTACAGTTTCAAGTCAGGGAGCGTGATGCCTCCAGCTTTGTTCTTTTGGCTTAGGATTGACTTGGCAGTGCGGTCTCTTTTTTGGTTCCATATGAACTTTAAAGTAGTTTTTTCCAATTCTGTGAAGAAAGTCATTGGTAGCTTGATGGGGATGGCACTGAATCTATAAATTATCTTGGGCAGTATGGCCATTTTTATGATATTGATTCTTCCTACCCATGAGCATGAAATATTCTTCTATTTGTTTGTATCCTCTTTTATTTCACTGAGCAGTGGTTTGTAGTTCTCCTTGAAGAGGTCCTTCACGTCCCTTGTAAGTTGGATTCCTAGGTATTTTATTCTCTTTGAAGCAATTTGAATGGGAGTTCACTCATGATTTGGCTCTCTGTCTGTTATTGGTGTATAAGAATGCTTGTGATTTTTGCACATTGATTTTGTATCCTGAGACTTTGCTGAAGTTGCCTATCAGCTTAAGGAGATTTTGGGCTGAGACAATGGGGTTTTCTAGATATACAATCATGTCATCTGCAAACTGGGACAATTTGACTTCCTCTTTTCCTAATTGAATACCCTTTATTTCCTCCTCCTGCCTGATTGCCCTGGCCAGAACTTCCAACACTATGTTGAATAGGAGCGGTGAAAGAGGGCATCCCTGTCTTGTGCCAGTTTTCAAAGGAATGCTTCCAGTTTTTGCCCATTCAGTATGATATTGGCTGTGGGTTTGTCATAGATAGCTCTTACGATTTTGAGATACGTCCCATCAATACCTAATTTATTGAGAGTTTTTAGCATGAAGTTTGTTGAATTTTGTCAAAGGTCTTTTCTGCATCTATTGAGATAATCATATGGTTTTTGTTGTTGGTTCTGTTTATATGCTGGATTATGTTTATTGATTTGCGTATGTTGAACCAGCCTTGCATCCCAGGGATGAAGCCCACTTGATCATGGTGGATAAGCTTTTTGATGTGCTGCTGGATTCGGTTTGCCAGTATTTTACTGAGGATTTTTGCAGCGATGTTCATCAGGGATATTGGTCTAAAATTCTCTTTTTTTGTTGTTTCTCTGTCAGGCTTTGGTTTCAGGATGATGCTGGCCTCATAAAATGAGTTAGGGAGGATTCCCTCTTTTTCTATTGATTGGAATAGTTTCAGAAGGAATGGTACCAGCTCCTCCTTGTACCTCTGGTAGAATTTGGCTGTGAATCTGTCTGGTCCTGGACTTTTTTTGGTTGGTAAGCTAGTAATTATTGCCTCAATTTCAGAGCCTGTTATTGGTCTATTCAGAGATTCAACTTCTTCCTGGTTTAGTCTTGGGAGGGTGTATGTGTCCAGGAATTTATCCATTTCTTGTAGATTTTCTAGTTTATTTGTGTAGAGGTGTTTATAGTATTCTCTGATGGTAGTTTGTATTTCTGTGGGATCGGTAGTGATATCCCCTTTATCATTTTTTATTGTGTCTATTTGATTCTTCTCTCTTTTCTTCTTTATTAGTCTTGCTAGCAGTCTATCAATTTTGTTGATCTTTTCAAAAAACCAGCTCCTGGATTCATTGATTTTTTTTGAAGTTTTTTGTTTGTGTCTCTCTTTCCTTCAGTTCTGCTCTGATCTTAGTTATTTCTTGCCTTCTGCTAGCTTTTGAATGTGTTTGCTCTTGCTTCTCTAGTTCTTTTAATTGTGATGTTAGGGTGTCAATTTTAGATCTTTCCTGCTTTCTCTTGTGGGCACTTAGTACTATAAATTTCCCTCTACACACTGCTTTGAATGTGTCCCAGATGGCCGAATAGGAACAGCTCCAGTCTAGAGCTCCCAGCATGAGCGATGCAGAAGATGGGTGATTTCTGCATTTCCAACTGAGGTACTGGGCTCATCTCACTGGGGAGTGTAGGAAAGTGGGTGCAGGACAGTGGGTGCAGCGCACCCAGCATGAGCCGAAGCAGGGCGAGGCATCGCCTCACCCAGGAAGTGCAAGGGGTCAGGGAATTCCCTTTCCTAGTCAAAGAAAGGGGTAATGGATGGCACCTGGAAAATCGGGTCACTCCCACCCTAATACTGTGTTTTTCCAATGGTCTTATCGGCACACCAGGAATTTATATCCTGCTCCTGGCTCGGAGGGTCCTAAGCCCATGGAGCCTCACTCATTGCTAGCACAGCAGTCTGAGATCAAACTGCAAGGCTGCAGCGAGGCTGGGGGAGGGGCGCCCGCCATTGAGTAGGTAAACAAAGTGGCTGGGAAGCTCGAACTGGGTGGAGCCCACAGCAGCTCAAGGAGGCCTGCCTGTCTCTGTAGACTCCACCTCTGGGGACAGGGAATAGCCAAACAAAAGGCAGCAGAATCCTCTGCAGACTTAAATGTCCCTGTCTGACAGCTTTGAAGAGAGTAGTGGTTCTCCCAGCACGCAGCTGGAGATCTGAGAACGGACAGACTGCCTCCTCAAGTGGGTCCCTGATCCCTGAGTAGCCTAACTGGGAGGCATCCCCCAGTAGGGGCAGACTGACACTTTACACGGCCAGGTACTCCTCTGAGACAAAACTTCCAGAGGAACGATCAGGCAGCAATATTTGCTGCTCACCAATATCCGCTGTTCTGCAGCCTCCGCTGCTGATAACCCAGGCAAACAGGGTCTGGAGTGGACCTCCAGCAAACTCCAACAGACCTGCAGCTGAGGGTCCTGACTGTTAGAAGAAAAACTAACAAACAGAAAGGACAGCCACACCAAAACCCCATCTGTATGTCACCATCACCAAAGACCAAAGGTAGATAAAACCACAAAGATGGGGAAAAAACAGAGCAGAAAAACTAGAAACTCTAAAAATCAGAGCTCCTCTCCTCCTCCAAAGGATTCTTTTTTATTGTTTAAACATCTGTAGCATCAGTATGATATTGAACTTAAAAGGAAAACAATTATTTGCATGTATGTTAGTACTGCACCAGCTCTTCCACCTATCAACTACATGAGTTTGGGAAAATCATTTCATTTCCCTAAGCTACTTACTGACATTATTTTGAGGTTTATAGAAGAAAATTCATAGGATACAGTAAAACTCTACATATGTAACATTATTGCATTGCATTTAAAAAAAAGCATTAAGAATTATTTAAGCACATATCCCCTAGTTAGACAAAGTAAAAACTTTTTAAAGCAGCATTTAAATCCAATGCAATGTCTTAAAATATAAGCACTACCAATTCTTATCACTGTTTTCTTAAATGTAGTTAACTTTTAATTATTAGCAGTGGATTGCCCACATAGCAATTTATCAACAGTAAAGCTTCATACCTTCAACAGAAGCATTGTGCTAGGATATACTTTGATTACTTTATCTGTGTGATTTTAATTAAAATGCAATGTTTAATGCTAGAGGGAAAATTGTTTGGGTTTTCTCTTTATACTTCACTAAACTCAGAAAAAGATATTGAAGACACATTTCACTTTTTAATCCTTACCTAAACATCCTAAAAATTATGAGAAAAAATGCAGCATCGCAAGGAAAATTGTTGAATAATATTATCTTGAATATTCGCTGTTTGCAAATTTCAACAATTTAAGAAAAATGCTAACTTTACATATACGACCATATGATTTCTGCGATTTGTTTCAGCATAACTCAGTGGAGGATGGGAAGGTTACGTATGTGTAGATATATATGAAAAAACATTTGGAAGGCATTGTTGATTGTGGAAACTGAAGAGGTTCATTTTACTATTCTCTCTACTTTAAAATTTTTATGCTGAAATGTTAACAATAATATACATAAAATGAGAAAAAAATTATTAGGTGATTTGCTGGCTTATAAATCCAATGGAAGAAAAGAAATCCTAAGAGTTAATATGAAATACATTTCATCCAAGTACGTTTCAAGAGCATTTCCTTTAGGAAAGTTTCAAAACCTTATGAAAACTGATAATTCATTCAGATTGTAGCATGGTCATGTTATGATCCTCTGATGCTTAATATTGAGTGTCAACTTGATTGAAGGATGCAAAATATTGTTGCTGGGTGTATCTGGGGGGGGGGTTTGCCAAAGTAGATGAACATTTGAGTCAGTGGACTGGGAAAGGCAGACCCACCCTCAATCTGGGTGGGCACAATTTAATCAGCTGCCAGCTCAACCAGATTAAAAGCAGGCAGAAGAGCGTGGAAAGACTAGACTGGTTTACTCTTCTGGTTTCTATCTTTCTTCCGTGCTGGATGCTTCCTGCCCTCGAACATTGGACTCCAAGTTCTTCAGCTTTGGGACACAGACTGGCTTCCTTGCTCTTCAGCTTACAGATGGCCTGTCATGGGACCTCACCTTGTGATCCCTGTGAGTCAATACTCCTTAATAAACTTCCCTTTATATCTACATCTGTTCTATTCTGTCCCTCCAGAGAACCCTGACTATGGCAGATGCCAACTAAATAGCTTCTCTCTATTATGGGAAATACTAACAGTTTGTATTTCATATTAAGTTCTCTGTCATTATACGATTATTTTATGTCATCCAGACACTAAAGTTATAAACACAGATTATGACATGTGAAAATAAAATTGTATAGGTTATTATTTAGAGGTTCCTAAACATTTCATGATTTGAAAACTATGCGTAAATGTATTTATACTTCTACCAAACGTTTAAAAAATTCATCTATTTGGTAATATGAAGAAACAAATATAAAATAGTTCTAGTTTAAATGACTATATACTGATTATTACATCTACAAAAGCAAGTGAAGCATTGACAAACATCATTTGAGAAACTGGGCTTTTCGTATAAATAACCTAGATGGGATCTTTCTGCTGAATCAATTCTCTGGATAAAACTAATTCTCCACTTTTTAAAAAACCTTTGTAAACAGTCTTCCTTAATTTTGTAAGATAAAGGAGCCCCTTCTAGCAATAAGCTCAGCTTAAAACAAGCACTGATTTCAAGTGAAAGTGTGGAATAATTTGGGAACATTTATTTTGCTGCCTTACATATGTGCAGACTGATTACATAATGACAAAGAGGTCAGGCTGCTTAACTCGACACAAGAGTACTCACTGGGGCAAAACCTGGAGTCTGTTCCTGTCTGTAATACAGGTTTATGTTTAGTACAGTGTTCACAGATCTTCCTGAAGTGAATCCCTCATGATTGTTTTACATGCCTTATTAGTTCTAAAACTTGTCCTACACATTAGTATTATCTAGACAAAATATACATACAATACCTTTGCTGACCACCAAAATCCAGAACACATAGAAAACTAAAGGAATATTGTAATCTGGCTCTGCTTTTTAATCTGACATAATTCCTTTCTATGTTCAAACAAAGCATTTCTCCCACCTTAGGGTTTTAGCATTTGCAATTCTCTATCACATGTTTGCTTCTTAATCATCAGGTTTCAGCTCTATACTGTCCTCCTCTATAAGAGGTATTTTTGGACCATTCAATGTAAAACAGATTCATCCAGTCCTTATCCAATCCATAATTTTTTCCTAGTTAAAATTGTCTTGTTTAATTATTTTTATGTTTATTGCGTGTCTCTCTTCACTAGGATGTAAAACATAAGACATCTCCATGAGCACACAGAAGAACAACTTCTTCTTCTTCTTCTTCCTCCTCCTCCTCCTCTTCCTTTTCTTCTTCCCCTTCCCCTTCTTTTTCTTCTTCTTCTTTTTCCTCTTCCTCCTTTTCCTATTCTTCCTCTTTCCTTCTCCTCTTTTTTTTTTTTTTCCAGACAGGGTCCCTCTCCCTGTCAACCAAGCTGAAGTGCAATGGCGTAATCATAGCTCATTGCAAACTCAAACTCCTGGACTCAAGCAATTCTCCCTCAGTTTCCTGAGTAGCTGGGATTATAGGAATGAGCACCTGTTTATTTATTTATTTGTTTGTTTTCACCACAGTGTTTAAAATACTGCCTGGCACATTACTAATGCTCAGAAAGATATTTTTGAATGAATAAATGACAAATGAAAATCAATGAATTTGTTTATATAGGGCTTGTTTTCTGGATCATAGTTAAATATAAACAAAGATTTACTCATCAATAAAAATTATGACACTTTCATTAGAACAAGTTACTAAACAAGGCTCTAGATTAAATCAATTAATAGAACAAGGGCAAAGTTGTGTCATTTATCACATACAGTTCAACTATTTACTATTATATAATAGCAAAAGCTCAAGTACTTTATAATACACATGGTACTTTGAATTCTATTTGGCAGATTTAGAATCCAAATTATTGAGCACATATTCTTTATTTGCTCAAGACATCAGTCTAACAGGGTGCAATGTGAAGGGACAGCTGGAATTAAAACCTATCTGAGTAAATACATAAAGGTAGTATTTTTAAACTTAAAATAGATTATATTTGAAGAATGAGGAAAAGATGACCCCATGACTCAAATGTAGTAGACTTTTAAAAGATGAGGTTGCCCTTGATGCTGCAGAAGATTAAACACTGCTAGACAAAACTGTAGGCTAAACTGATGAGATCTGCTCTAATTTATATTATCTTATGTGAACTAGTTCTAAGGTAGGTTGTTCTTTCTTTTCAGAGACTCTACTGGGTACTTCAGAGATCCCCAAACACTGGTCATCTGTGACCTGAAGTTCCACACAAGTGCATCTCTATTAACCATGCTGACCAGTTGTTTCTCATCCTCCATGTTGCTCCTCCAGATTTTTGGCTCAACAAAAATACCCTCGTTGTTTTGTGGTTCTATCCATATGCTTTTTCTGACAGTTTTACTTACTTCTTTTAGGAATGCTGCACTTATCTTGTCCATTACCCCTTCTTCAAGTGTTTATATATATCTCAACCAACTCTTTCACAATATTTGTTGATGTGGCCACCTGAAAAAAAAAAACTCTCCATGTAGTGGAAAGTTTACTAAATCTGGGAGCAGTTTACCCCATTGCTTGACTCTGAATTCTGATATAAAATTCTTCATATTAGGCAAAACTCTTTATACTTATAGTTTTTCTAAATTGATTCTGGTTTTCTTTTTGAAGCCTCTTCCATGTAAGATGCCTTTGAATATTTTTAGATATTTATTATGCCATTTCAAGTCTTCTCTTCTTCATTAAAGAGAAACATCCTTAGTTCAAAGTAGTTTGATGCTGGCCCACCCAGCTGGCCTCCACCTCCTTCAACAGCACCATCAAAAGTACTCCTTCTATAGCACTTCCAGTCCAGAGTTCTGGCCTCTATTGAAATACTGATTTGCTGGTCTGTTCATCTAGAGTCTAACTCCCTGAATAGCAAATGTGCTGGATAGGCTACTTCCTAAGACCAGAGAATCCTACTCCTGACATCAGGGACCTGCATTTATCAATGATAAACCCACCATATATCCCGTTCCTGTGAAAACTATATACCTTTCCCCATGTTATCCTAATTGCACTGCACGATGCTGGCATCTGCTGATCCAGCTGCCGACCATCTCTCTCCCTTTCAAAACTGCACAATTCCTCTGGAACTTCATTTCGTATTAAATATAACCCCATAGATACTCAAACTTTTTAGTAAACATTCCATACACTTTATTTCATTAGCTGAAAACTGCTTCCTTTCCTGTTTACACCTCCCTAAAAGCTGACATGATTCCATCATGTATTGTCCAAACTGGGATATTTTTTAGAGTAAATAGATAAAACCATTAGTAATTACAATATGAGATTAGGGGTAAACTGGGACTGGGACTGCCCTGAACAAACCAGGATGTATGTCCATAATAGTTTCCTGGGGCTGCCATAAGAAATGACCATAAATGAGTGGTTCAAGGTAACAGAAATGTATTCACATATAGTTGAGGAAACTAGAAGTCTGCAGTCAAGATGTCAGCAGGTTTCCTTCCTTTCAGAGGCTCTGAGGGAGAAGAAATCTCATGTTTCTCTCCTAGCTTCTTGTGGTTGCCAACAATTCTTTGCTGTACCTTGACTTTTAGATACATCACTCCGATCTCTGCCCATATTGTCACATTGCCTACTTAACTGTGTCACTCTCTTCTCCTACTCTATCTCTTGTTAGGGCTTACACTAAATGTCAGAGTCATTTTAATCCCATATGATCTTACCTTGATCTTTAATTACATCTGCCAAGAGCCTTAGTCCAAATAAGGTTACATTGTGAAGTTCAGGTCGGAATGGATTTTTGAGGGACATAGTTCAACACACCACAATGGTCAAACTACCTACAGGATGATGGTTCTTCTCCCACAGTCCATAGCTTTTGGAGTTGTGAGGTGCAGTTAACACATTCTCTCCCCGTGCCATTTCTACATTATTCCTTCATCTTGTATTAAAATATCCCTCTTGATACTCATGTCAGTTGGTTAAATCATATTCCTTTTTTTTTGTTTCAATCTCAGTCAAGTCCCTTCTTTTATCAAAACCTATTTAAGTTCAACATTCATATGAATAAAGCCTAATATCCCCAAAAAGTCATTCACTTGATAGTCTCTATTCCATCGACCTTTACCCCAACTCTGTTTCAGGTTTCTATTCCGTGACTCATATTATAGATAGTAAATTATAAAAATATCCATTTCAAAAATGGTTAAATGTCAGACATTTCATACAGTTTAACAAAATAGAATTTGTTCTCAATTCTCTGCCTGATATGGCTTGGATCTGCGTCCCCACCCAAATCTCATGTCAAATTGTAATCCCCATTGTTGGAGGTGGGGCCTGATGGGAGGTGATTGGATCATGGGGGCAGTTTCTCATTAATGGTTTAGTACCATCTCCTTGGTACTGTCCTCACAATGGTGAGTTCTCACATGATCTGGTCATTTAAAAGTATGTAGCAACTCCCCCCTCTAACTCGCTCCCACTCCCACCATGTGAGAGGCCTCTCTCCCGCTTTGCCTTCCACCATAATTGGAAGCTTCCTGAGGCCTGCCCAAAAGTAGAAGCCACTATGCTTCCCATACAGCCTGCAGAACCATTAGCCAATTAAACCTCTTTTCTTTCTAAATTACCCAGTTATAGGTATTTCTTTTTATCAGTGCAAGAAAGGACTAATAACAAAGGACTAATAACTTTACAGCAGTGCAAGAAGGACTGATAACTGCCTCATTGTCCTTCTGTCTTACTTTCCCCAAAACATCTCAATCCTCTGTCAAACTAATTGTCCCTTTTCTCTTGTCTCACACATGGTGTCTGTGGAAAATCCTACACTAAGGCAGATTGTTGCTACTTCATTTTGGTTTCCATAAATTATTGTGTTAGTGTTGCCTAGAGCTCTTCTTAGTCATCTCTTGACTGGTTCTTCACAGCGACTATTTCAAACCTTCTCCACTCTGTTCCAAGTTCCTACTTCCCACATCATCCTTCACACTCATCATGCTACCTGTCCTCCTACTTTATAAAGGAAAACAAAGCCAACAGATGGAAAATTTCTTCATTTTCTGACGTTCTATTTTAACATTTTGCTGCATTTACATCTTATTTTATCATTTCCATCCTACCACAATGGTATAAAATATCCCCACTTTTAATTTTAGAATAGTTTCTCTGCTTCAATTTTGCATACCATCCGTTTATCTTCAAGGATACTCCTCCACTGATTATTTCCTGTGTACCACTCTCTTATAGCTCCTACTTCAAGAAGCACTCCTATCAAATATTGAAAAAGCACTTACTATATTTTAGGTAACATGTAAAACTCTGTGAAATTAATAATGAACAAGATATTCACTGCCACTGCCTTCATGAAACTTATAATCCGTTTAACAAGAGACTAATTCAACAGACTACATTTTGTTTTCTTTTTTTTTTTTTTGAGACAGAGCCTCTCTCTGTCACCCAGACTGGAGTGCAGTGGCATGATCTCAGTGGCTCACTGCAACCTCTGCTTTCCAGGTTTAAGTGATTCTCCTGCCTCAGCCTCCCAAGTAGCTAGGATTACAGGCGCCTGCCACCATGCCCAGCTAATTGTATTTTTAATTGTAATTTGTATATTTAGTAGAGACGGGGTTTCACCATGATGATCTCGAACCCCAACCTCAAGTGATCCACCTGCCTTGGCCTCCCTCCCAAAGTGCTGGGATTACAGACGTGAGCCACTGCACCCAGCCAACAGACTATATTTTCTATTCATCAAATATTTTCTCCCATTTGTCTTTTAACTCTGATTTAGTATTTTGTCATACAAAAATATTCTTGTCTTAATTTGATTTGTGTTCTATTTTTACATAGTCAAAGTTTTCTTTCTTTAATTGCATGTAGATTTGCGACATAGTTAAAAAGACTTTTCTAACATCCAGGCTGTAGAGTAATTCTCCACATTTTCTTCTAGTACTTTCATGGTTCCTTTTTTTCACAATTATATTTTCTGATAATTTTGAGTTTATTCTTTGTATGGTAAGGTATCAAACTATTTTTTTTCCTACCCAATGAATATCCAGTTGATACAACCCCATTTCTTAAAAGGTCTATCTTTGCAGCTGTAATTTTTGATACTATCTAACTTTATCAATTACTAAATTTTCACCTGTAGTTTATTACTAGACTTTCTATTCTATTCCACCGGTCAATCTGCCTTCTTAGGTACCAGTTCCATGCTATTTAGAGAGGCTTTGTAGCTTGTTTTAATATGTGCAGCTATTCCTCTCTCATATCTTTTTCAGTGCCTTCTTAGCTATTCCTGAATGATGACTTTTAAAAATCAACTTGTGCAGATTAAAAAACTGATGATATTTTTGTTGGGATTAAATTAAATCTATTAATTAACTTAGGGGGAGAACTCACATCTGCATAATTTTGAATTATTTTTATCCAAGAACAAGGGATATCTTTTTATTAGTTTCAAGGCTACTTTTGTGCTTTTCAGGAGGGTTTTAACTTTTCTGTATATAGTTTTGCAATTTCTTGATAGCTAATTTTTTCTAAGTATTTTTATATTGCTACTGTTAATATAATTTTCTCTTTCATCACATCTTCAAACCTGTTATTGTTTGTATATATAGGGTACTGGGTTTTGTCTGTAATTTTTGATCCTATTTCCTTACTAAATTCTTTTATACTTTGGATTTATCATTGTTTCTCTGGGTTTTCCAGGTGCATTATCATATCATCTGCTGATAAAGAAAGTTCTGCTGCTTTAATTCTCATTTATTTACTTACTTTTTACTGTTTTAATTGCATTGGCTGACACTTTTAATATAACATTACATAGAAGTGGATATTGTGATCATTCTTGTTCCCGACCATAATGGAAAAGCCTTTTGTGCCTCCTGATTAAGTAAGAAACTGGCTTTAGAATTATGTTTTTATAACATTGAATAGTACCATCCATTTATAATTTGAGTACTTTTATGATAAATAGATGTTGAATTTTCAGCATCAATGGAGAGAAACATGTTTTTTCTTCTTATGCCTATTAATTTCTTGAATGTTATTAAATATTCTGATTAATATTAAACCACATTCACATGGCTGGTATAAATCCCATCCCAACTTTGTATTAGTCTGTGCAGGCAACCATAACAAAATACCATAGACTGAGTGGCTTAAACAACCCAGAAATATGTTTCTCACAGTTCTGGGGACTGAGAAGTCCAAGATCAAGGTGCCAGCAAGGTAGATTTCATTCTGAAGTCTCGTCTCTTGGCATGTAGGCAGCCATGCTCTTCTTGTGTACTTACTTGGTCTCTTGTTTGTGCACATGTGAAGAGACAATGATCTCTCTAGTGTCTCTTCTTATGAGGATACTAATCCTATGGGATCATGACTTCTACCCTTATGAGCTTGTAAACTCTATTTTTATAAAGATCCTATCTCCAAATACAGTCACATTGGGGATTAGAGCTCCAACATATGAATTTGGGGGATACAAACCTACATTCCATAATATTTTGCCCCTTCTTCCTCCCCCAAATTTATGTATTTATTGCATACAAAATACATTCATTCCACCTCTCTCAAAAGACTTAACTCATTCCAGCATCAACTCTAAAGTCTAAAGTCCAAATTCTTATCTGAATACCATTCATCTAAATATGGATAAGACTGAAAGTACAGTTCATCCTTAGGCAAAATTTGTCTCCAGTTGTGAACCTGTGAGAGCAGACATGTTGTGTACTTCTAAAATACAAAGTAGGACAGAGCTAAGGCAAACATTCCCATGCCAAAAGGGCTAAATAAGAAGGAAGGAAAGGTGATGATTCCCAAATAAGTTCAGAGCTTAGCAAGGAAAACTGCATTAGATTTTAAGTCTTAAGAATAATTTTATTTGGTTCAATGTTCTGCCCTCCAGGCCTACTGGGGTGGCAGCATCAGCCCCATGGCTCTGTGGGGTGGCCTTATTTTGTTTTGCTAGGAGAGCGAACTCTGCCCACAGGTCTCTCTTTGGTGGCCCTACTCTCTGCAGCCCCAAAAGAAAGCCTTTCTCCATCGGCCTTTGGTAGGAGTTGCTGTCTTGATCTCTAAATCCCTTTGGGCCATTCTTCCCTTTACTTAAAGAATATCACACATTTATAGCCTGTACTAGTCTGTACTCACACTGCTAATAAAGACATACTCAAGAATGGGTTATTTATAAAGGAAAGAGGTTTAACTGACTCACAGTTCCACATGGTTGCGGAGGCCCCACAATCATGGCTGAAGGCTAATGAGGAGCAAAGTCACGTCTTACATGGCAGTAGGCAAGAGAGCTTGTGTAGGGGAACTCCCTTTTATAAAGCCAACAGAACTCATGAGACTTATTCACTATCTTGAGAACAGCAAGGGAAAGACCCGCCCCTTGATTGAATTACCAGCCCCGAGGTCCCTTCCATGACATGTGGGAATTATGGGAGCTACAATTCAAGATGAGATTTGGGTGGGGACACAGCCAAACCATATCATAGCCAAATAACTATATGGTTCAGTCTTGTAGAATCCAAGAAATCTGGCAACCTTTCATTCAGTTTTGTTTTTTCTCTTCCCTGTAATTGAAACTGTCAGTGTCTCTGCTGGTATAATCCTCTCTCTATTCCTGGATTCTTCTGAGATGGCTGATTAAGCCCATGAGGTGAACCCATGATCTATTCATCAAATGATTGTTCAGTCACAACCCTAGTGTTCTTTTAAGAACAAGATTTCTCATTTTTTCAATGTAGATAGGCCATAAATTTTCCAAATCTTCAAGATCTGATTCCTTTTTACCCTAGCAGTATTTTCTCCAATTGTCTCTCTCCTCTTGCCTTTTATATTATAAGCACTCAGGGGAAACCAAGCTAATCCTTGAACACTTTGCTTAGAAATCTCCTCAGCTAAATATCATATTTCACTGCTTGCACGTTCTACCTTCTACAAAACATTTGAACACAGTTCAGCCAAGTTTTCTGCGACTTTATAACAAGGACTGTCTTTTCTCCAGTTTCCAATAACTTTTTTTTTCCTGAGACCTCACCAGAATGACCTTTAATGTCCACATTTCTGCCAACATTCTGTTCATGACTATTTATGTATTCTTTAAAAAGCTGGAAGCTTTCTCTCCAGCTCTCCTCTTTTCTGTCTGAGTCTTTACTGAAATCTCCTTTAACATTCGTATTTCTTACCAACAATACAATCCAGGCATTTTATAGCATACACTTCTTACCTCCTCCATCCTCTACCTGTTACCTATTTCCAAGAGGCAGGAGAATCACTGCCTATTTCCAAACACCTATTTCCAAAGCCACTCTTACATTTTTAGGTATGTCCTATAACAGCACCCAAATTCTCTGTACCAAAATCTGTGTTAGTTTGCTCAGGCTGCCATAACAAAATATCACAGATTGGGTAGCTGAAAAAAAACATAATTGTTTTTTCTCACAGTTCTAGAGGCTGGGTAGTCTAAGATCAAGATACCAGATAATTTGCTTCTGGGTAAAGGCTGTCTTCCTGTGAGAGCAGGAGCAAACTCTCTGGTGTCTCTTCTTATATGGACATTAATTCTGCCAGACCAGGGCCTTACTCTTGTGATTTCATCTAACCTTAATTATCTCTTAAAAGCCCCATCCTGAAATACTATCATGTTGAGTGGTAGGGCTTCAACATGTGAATTTTAGGGGAACACAAACATTCAGCCCATAACAGACATGGTGTATTACTGGTGGTATTGGAGTCTACTCTCTAATATTTCATTTTAAAACTGCAATACTTACAAGAAATATTAGTCCATGATTTCCTTTGTTAACTATCTTTAACAGGTTATAGAACAATATCATTCTTGCTTCATAAATGAACTTAAATATTTTTAATCATTTTTCATATTCTAACTTGTCTTTAAAAGTTTGGAAGAATTAGTTGGTGAAGCCATTTATGATACTATTTTTCTAAAGTAATTCATTTACAACTGTATTGCAGCTATGAAAATGTACATCTTTAATTCTTCTAGACTTAATGGAGTTAATGTTGGTAAACTAAATTTTTGTCTAAAGTTATTTATTTGTATAGAGATCTGCCTGTAGTTCTCAATAGTGAAGTGACTGGGGACTGATCTAGAAGTATTTATTCCAATTTTTAAAAATTAAGACTAAAGTCTAAATTTTGAATTTTTTTTGTGTTCAGGTATCATGGAACATACATATTATAATAATATGTTTTTCATTGTTATAATCATTGTTTCTACCCATCTGCATCTCATTTGTTATTTTTCTTTTATACAAGAATATGCCTTTACTGCTACCTAGTCAGGAGATTGATGATAGATTCCTCAAGGTCAGGAACCTGTCTTCTCCTCACTATAATATACCATAGAGTACAAAACTCATAGTGTTCAGCAAATATATATTATTATAAAAAGCAATATGGATCATAATAGATGTTTGACGTTTCATAATAATCTTCTAACAGCATGTTATCATGCAGTACCCCATGCTAAGAACAAAAATTGACTTAAGAAAACATATCTTTGTATATAACTTGTAATAAAATCATAGCTATATAATTTTGTTAGACTCTGCAAATAACTCTAAATAATGTATTTAGAGAGTAGCAATTGTCAAGAAGTATGAATAAGAAATGATAATTTGACATTTAAAAGAGTGAAAGTTTTACGCCATTAACCATAAACAGAGAAATACATGAGAACAAAAAAAATGTGCCAAAGGAAATATTTATGAACTAGTTGGAGTTCAAGGACAAGTGCATTTAACATCTAAACGAAGTTCACTGTTTTTTTTATGTCCTTGTCAAAGATTGACTTTCACTTACTTTCACTCAATAAATGAATGGCAGTTTGGCTTTTCACAGAGGTAGGATTCCAGGGATCCATTAAACCTTTCTAAATGTCATTAATGTCATGATCATACATTTTTTTGAGAGGTAACCATTTCTTCAGGTTGGTCTTGTTAATGAATCTTCGCATTCTCTATTAGCATCATTATCGAACATGAAAACAAGGTAGAAGCATCACCATTAGAGTATCAAGTGAACACCAGCACAGCACTTTTCTGAGTCACTGATCTGCTGCCAGCAATAAGCAGTCTATCAAGGGGACAGTGACCTTCAGATAAACTTTACTTTATCTGTAATGTTTCATTGATTATAGGCTTCTTTTAGCAGGGGATATAAAATGTAGATCCTGTTACTAAAAATCATGATAAATAATTTCACATAGTATCATTTCTGAGCAAAATTTCATCTGAAAATAGTGAATGAAGTATTTATAAGAAAATATTCTTTTGGTCTAAGTATGAATGGTCTATTTTCATAATTTGTATTTTACCTGCTGTGTTTAAATAGCAACCAGCCAGAATATGCCATTAAATTTCAAATTTTCAGACACAATTTAATGCACAAAAATAAAACTTGCAAACTGATTCAGATTAATCAAGTATGACTGTTCCAAATGCACCACATGATGTTGCACAAGCTTTTAAAAATGTTTATTTCAACACATTAGATTCTTTGCACTGCATTATTGTACCCTTTGGGTCAAGGAAAGGAAAGTTTTATGCATAGAATTAACTGCCATATACATCTGTAGAGCCATAGATGTGTATGACAGTAGGGATGACACGTGTTATGGTTTAGATATATCAATAAAAGTTATTTAACAACCTACCTTTTACATAGTATAAATATGAGAACAATTCTCTACATAATTTATAAATAAATTCATTAGGTATTTCAAGTGTGTGATCTATTTACTTATGAGTTCTGGGAGACATTTGAGAAGAAAATTATGATCTGCCTTTTTCTGAAATGTTTTGTAGTTGAAGCAAGATGTTTAGCCTTGATTTGTCTTAGTTGTTTTTTTATTTACAATTCTCACCTTTGCTTTGCATTTCTGGGCTTAGCCTGAGGCCAATCACGGTCTGAATGTAGCTATGGATCATCAGGCTATGTCTGATGTGCACTGATTTTACTTGGCCAAAATGTCCCATTGGCTTTAGTTATTATATTGATGATAAGCTTCATTTAAATATTATTGATATTATTTAGGTGATGTAGATTTTTGATCTTTGATGTTTACACAATAGATAGTGAGTACATTTGAATGTATATTTCTTTGCTTGCCATTAAAAAAAAACAAGCAGCTTATCTGCTTAAATATACAAATGTATTGGAACCTCACACACTCCTCTAAGGCCAAGTAGTGAAAATATTTTCGGTGAGAAAGTGTTGGCATTTCTAGCAGTAAAATCTTGATAATCCATTATGATTAAAATTAATTTCTCTACTGCCCCCTCCAAAATAGAGGACACTTTATTCCCTATCTCAATTCATGAATCAAGCTGGAATTCCTGTTGTCATGGTCGCTCCTCTTTCCTCCAACTTTATTTTCACTAATTTGTGTCAATTCTTCCTGTCCAATGTCTTTCAAGTCATTCAACTCCATTCTTTCCTCACTTTCAAAGATATATTTCATCTTCAGGTTTCATGTGCAATTTCTGGGCCTTCGTTTCTGATGCCATGAAAGAATATCATAATGCAAGGGTGGGAAGATGTTATTAGCATAGGAACACAGGAACAACTTTTAATCTGCTGTAGTTAATTAAAATGCTTCATAAAATATATGCCAAAGTTGATCATTGTACAGCATTAGGTCTTGGTACAATTGCTGAAAAATAATATGGTCTATATTGTGTACTCTGTTGCCAGTTATTAAAAATAATTTTGGTGATGTCAGTTCCTTTTACAACAAACCATACAAATTCTGCATTGCCTGTAGGATAAGGTTCAAACTTCTTGGAAAGCCATACAAATCTCAACAATATAATTTTGGCACATATATCTCCTACAATGTGTGTGTATATACGAGTTATGAAGAGTTATGGGCCAGGCACGGTGGCTCATACCTGTAATCCCAGAACTTTGGGAGGCTGAGGTGGGTGGATGACCTGAGGTCAGCAGTTTGAGACCAGCCTGGCCAACACCGTGAAACCCCATCTCTACTGAAAATACAAAATTAGCCAGGTGTGCTGGTGGGCGCCTGTAATCTCAGCTACTTGGGAGGCTGAGGCAGGATAATCCCTTGAATCCAGGAGGCAGAGGTTGCAGT
Organism: Homo sapiens; assembly: GCF_000001405.40. Taxonomy (NCBI): domain Eukaryota; kingdom Metazoa; phylum Chordata; class Mammalia; order Primates; family Hominidae; genus Homo; species Homo sapiens. The sequence goes on from NC_000013.11 coordinate 76,258,555, forward strand.
GAGCCGAGATCATGCCATTGCACTCCAGCCTGGGTGACAAGCGTGAAACTCTCTCTCAAAAAAAAAAAAAAAAAAAAAAAAAAAAAAAAAAAAAAAAAAGTTATGAATTGTTGGAATAACTCTAGGCACATATATACATACCTTGTAGGATTCATATACTATAGAACATCAATGTATGACAATTGGTTTTATTGACTATGAACTAGTAATTAATAGAAGTCATTACAGAGCAGACTGTTGTCAATTTTACTTAAATCAGCATGTCTCTAAGATAGAGCTCAAAATTGTACCATACCCACTTTGGCTCTGTTTCAAATGCACTGTGGGGAGGTGTCTATCTACAAGGTAATTAACGAAACATTTTATTTTCAATCTCAATCTATTGTTGTCTTTATAAATTCCTGGTTTTAACCTGAGAGTTTTTATATATTCAAGTAATTTTAATAAAATGAGAAAAATGTGAAGACATTACCAAATAAAAGAGTCAAGTTAAATATTGGGGAAGACAGGAATGCAAGGGACATTATAAAAATACAATTGGCCCTTGAGCGACTAGAGGGTTAGGGTGCTGACCTCCTGCACAGCCAAAACTCTGCAGATAACTTTGAATCCCCCAGAACTTAAGTACTGATAGCCTACTGTTGATGGGGAGCCTTATAGATAACATTATCAATTAATATATATGTATTATATACTGTATTTGTACAGAAAAGTCAACTGAATAAAATAAATTGTTATTAAGAAAATTATAAGGAAGAGATAATATATTTACTCTCCGGTAAGTGGAAGTGTATTATTAAGGTCTTTATCCTCTTTGTCCTCACATTAGGTAGGCTGAGGAGGAGGAAGAATAGGAAGGGTTGGTCTTGTCTTAAGAGTGGCAGAGGTGAAAGAAAATCCACGTATAATGAATCTGTGGAGTTCAAACCTGCATTGTTCAACCTGTGTTACAGTATTATTATTGCAGTCTAAGGCATCCTGGCAGTATACAAAACTTGCTACCCTGTTTGTTTTCTAATTTCTCTTTCCTCCCAACTATAATGCTTTTCCCAATTCCAGTGAAATACTTTCTTTTTCAAAGTGCAAATGTTTTAAAAATTTAAGAGTAAAGGAGACCTAATGTTAATTCAACTATTCAAATTAAAGAAAATTTATTGGACATTTATTGTTTGCAATGCACAGTTTCAGTGCTAACAATTATAACTTTCTAACAATTCACAGTGTAACTGAAGAGACAGTTGCATAAATATCTCTGTACAATAAGGAAAGATAGAGACTCATTCTCTTTCTGTGCTCTGAGACTTTCACTGAATGGCACTCTTGACCACCCAGTGGAAAGATCACTTTACCTGCTTCCTCCATAGTCTTTTTTTTTTTTCTTTTTTTTTTTTTTTTGAGACGGGGTCTCGCTCGGTCGCCCAGGCTGGAGTGCAATGGTGCGATCTTGGCTCACTGCAACCTCCGCCTCCCAGGTTCACGCCATTCTCCTGCCTCAGCCTCCCAAGTAGCTGGGACTACAGGTGCCCGCCACCACACCAGGCTAATTTTTTGTATTTTTAGTAGAGATGGGGTTTCACCGTATTAGCCAGGATGGCCTGGATCTCCTGACCTCGTGATCCTCCCACCTCGGCCTCCCAAAGTGCTGGGATTACAGGCGTGAGCCACTGCGCCCGGCCCATATTCTCTTTCAAAAGCAGTCACCAACCTCGGTGAAGTGAATCATATTTTCCACCATTCATTTTTGCTCTTGCCTGGCATCTTCTATCTACCTACCCACCTATCCATCTAAATTCATAAGTAAGTTATTCTTATACCTTCACTATCTATATTTACCACATCATCATGTCTTATTGATTCTATCTCCAAAATAATAAATCTTAAATGTGTCCACCACTATGGCAGTGCCCAACTCTAAACAACACCAGAGTAGGCATTTTAAAAAGTATATTGAATCCTGTCTATTCCTAGCTTAAGCACAAATTTATCACTGCTATATGTAACACTCTGCATGATCTCAACTCATCCTTGATTCCTCCTACTAGCACATATTTATTGAGAGCCCAAGAATGCCAAGCTCAGTGCTGCATATACAATAGTGCGGAAGATGCATATGTTGTCTTGCTTTTAACAATCTTATATTCTAGTTGAGGATATGGAAACAGTCATGTGAGTAAACAAATAAATCAATTATAATACATTTTGATGAATGCCATAAAGGAAACAAATTTGGTTCTAAACCATAATGGGATTAGGGAGCACCTATTAGATACAGTAGCCAGAAAAACCAATGAGGAGGTCACTTAAGAAGAAAAGGCTTAGACTGAAGGAGCCAGCCACAGGAAGAGTGGGGACAAAGCATTTCAGGCACAGAGATCTGTATGTCTAAAATCCATGAAATGGGGACCAGAAAAAGCCTGAGTGAAAAAATCAAAGTAATATAAAAGGAGAGGGTCAGGAAAAGTGGTAGAGGAGTAGGTAAGGGCTTGTTGATTTGGTTTGGCTGTGTCCCCACCCAAACCTCATCTTGAATTTTAGTTTCCACAATTTCCACATGTCCTGGAAGGGACCAGGCGGAGATAATTGAATCATGGGGGCAGTTTCCCCCATCCTGGTCTCATGATAGTGAGTTAGCTCTCACGAGATCTGATGGTTTTATAAGAGGCCTCCCCCCTTTTCTGGGCACGCATTCTCCCTTCTGCTGCACTGTGAAGAGGTGCCTTCCAACATGATTGTAAGTTTTTTGAGGCCCCCCAAGCAATGCAGAATCATGAGTCAATTAAACCTCTTTCCTTTATAATAAATTCCCAGTCTCAGGTATGTTTTTATTATAGTGTCAACGGACTAATGCACTTGTTTTTTTTTTTTTTTTTTTCTGCTTAACAATTACACAAACTTACTGGCTTCAAACAACACACAGTTATTACCTAACTCACAGTATTTGTAGGGAAGGAGTCTGGATATAGATTAACTGATGCTCAGCTCAGAATCTTAGTCTCACAAGGCTGCAATCATGGTGTTAGCCAGTGTCTTTTTTTCTGGAGCTTAGTTTACATGGTTGTCAGCAGGTTTCATTTTCTTGCACTTGTATAACTGAGGTATCCATTTTTCACTGGTTTCCAGCCAAAGTTCATTCTCAACTCTTACAGGTCATTCAAAGTTCCTTGCCACATGAACGTCTCACAGCCCCCTTTATAACATGCTATCTGACTTCTTCAAAGCCAGCAGGAGAATCTCTTGCTCCCATCAGCTATAATGTGATCTTATATAGTGTAATTACACAGTGACATCTTTGCCAAATTCTATTGGTTACAAACAAGTCACAGTTTTCATTGCACTCAAACAAAGAGGGTTGTGCAAAGACGTGACTCATTGGGGACCACCTTAGCGTGTTTCTGCTGCAAGACTCAATCATGTAAGTCACAGTTTGGAATTTGGATTTATTCTGGATGGAATGAGATGTTGTGGAAGGGAAGGAAGAAAGATGAAAGGAAAATAGTTAATGAGGCTCAAATCATGTCCCAGGGAATTATGAGGTAATGTGTACTTAATTCTGTTTATTGACTCAGATATTTCTTGGAGAAGATGGGCTCTAGGATAATAGGACTGGTGGATGAACACAGAAAGAGATAACATCAGAGGAAGATAAAATCTTTGCATAGACTGCAGGTAGACACGAGCAGCAGCAGGATGTGCTTGGGGAAGAGCAAGTAGCACACACTTATCAGAGTGCTCAGGATGCACCAGTTCAATAGTACACAGAAATCCAATGGATTTGAAAGCAGTAGGCTATTTTATATGGTCTTAAATGGAATCTATATTATCAGATATCTTAGTTTGGAAGGTAAGCCTGGTGCTACCAATAGAGAGAATGAATTGGAGGAAGAATTCATCAGACCAGTTAAGGAGATCATTATTTTCAGAGAATTAACAAAATTTTTAATACATTTTGAAATCTTTGAACTCCACATCAAGCATCAGAATAAGTTTCTTTAAAAACACCGTATCCTAATTAGTAAATGGAATAAATCTTTTGTTTGTTTGCAGGGACTCCTCTGAAGGATGGTTTTAACACATCTAGAAAGAACTAGGTACTGTGCCTTTAATCAGCGAGTTTCAGTTTTAGGACAAAGGAATTAGGGGTAAGGAATAAGGGTTTGTAATCAATGTGTCTGCTAAGTAGAAAATTATTACTTCCATTGGAACCGGAATCCTGGTTCCTCTGTTTAATCTTTGCATCCCCAATCGCTGACAACATACTAGATCCTTCAAAATTATTTTTAAATGGACAAATAAATGGTCACATCAAATAAATGTTATTCTTATTGTAACCTCCAGAGCACCACCTCTGTCCATCCCCTCTTTCCTGCTTTTTTTTTTTAACCTTCTGATGTCCAAAGACATCAGGAGATTTGAGGCATATTCTAATCTTAAAATCTCAATGCATTAATTTTTATCTTACTTTGTATTAAAATGAAGTTATGTAGATTGTCTTATTCATAGACTCTATGTAATGCATGAGATAATTCATAAGATGTATGGCAAACTTAAATTGCTTGAGTACTAATGATGATTATACAGAGATTTGCACTGTTTTTGAAATTAAATTTAGATAATTCTTTATCTTAAAACTTCTATCGAATGCCATTCTGGGTTATGAATGACTATCCCCTAGGATATTAGTTCAGAAGAAACAAGTGATAATTGTGAGATAAGATAAAATAGAAGAAACCAATGTTTATTAGTGCATGACTAAAGGTATGTTTGATATTTTCTTCAACACAAATATTTAAATATCCTTTCTGGAACTTTTAAATAAATAGCATATTAGCATTTAGAATTGTTTAGGATACTTACGTGTTCTTGTTCATTAATTTTCATTATTATTAAAGCAGGATAATGCTTTTTTTTTCACTTTAAATAATTCTAGCAGGCCGGTTATAGTGGCTCATGCCTATCATCCAATGCTTTGGGAGGCTAAGGAGGGAGGATTGCTTGAGGTCATGAGTTCAAGACCAGCCTGGGCAACATAAATAGCCAGGCATGATGACGCTTGTAGTCCCAGGTCCCAGCTACTCCGGAGGCTGAGGTGGGAGGATCACTTTAACACAAGAAGTCGAGGCTGATGTAAACTGTGATCAGTGATCATGCCACTACACTTCAGCCTGGGCAACAAAGAGAGACCCTATCTCAAACAAATAAAAAAAATTACAATCCTGTTCAGTATACACAAGTCAATAAATGTGATTCACCACATAAACAGATTAAAAGCAAAAACCATATAATCATCTCAATAGACTGAGAAAAAGCTATCGATAAAATCCAATATCTGTTCATGATAAAAACAATCAACAGACTAGTCATTGAAGGAACATACCTAAAATGATAAGAGCCATCTAATGACAAACCCACAGCCAACATCACACTGAACAGGCAAAAGCTGGAACTATTTCCGTTGAGAACTGGAACAAGACAAGGATGCCCATGCTCACCACCCCCACTATTCAACATAGTGCTGGAAGTCCTAGCCAGAGCAATCAGGCAAAAGAAAGAAATAAAAGGCATCCAAATAGGAAAAGAAGAGGTCAAAGGATCTCTCTTCACTGACAATGTGATTTTATACTTAGAAAATGCTAAATAATCCACCAAAAGGCTTCTAGAATGGGTGAATGACTTCAGTAAATTTTCAGGATGCAAAGTCAATGTGCGAAAACCAGTAACATTTCTATACACCAATAACACCGAGGTTGAGATTCAAATCAAGAACATAATCCCATCTATAATAACCACATACACAAAAATGAAATACCTAGGAATAAGCTAAGCAAGAAGATGAAAGATCTCTACAAGGAGATCTGCAAAACACTGCTGAAACAAATTAGAAATGACACAAATAAATGGAAAAACAGTGCATGCTCATGAATTGGAAGAATCAATATCATTAAAATGGCCATACTGCCCAAAGCAATTTACAGATTCAACATTCCTCCTATCAAACTACCAATGTCATTCTTCACAGAGTTAGAAATACTCTTCTAAAATTCATATGGAACTGAAAAATGAACCCAAATAGCCAAAGCAATCCAAAGCCAAAAACAAAACAAAACATAAACAAAAGACAAAGCCAGTGGCATCACACAACCCAACTTCAAACGATACTATAAGGCTACAGTAACCAAAGCAGCATGGCAATGGTACAAAAACAGACACATAGACCAATGGAACAAAATAGAGAACTCAAGAATGAAGCCACACACCTACCAATTATCTGATCTTTGACAAGGCCAACAGAAACAAGCAATGGAGAAAGGACTTCTTATTCAATAAATGATGCTGGGATAATGAATGTATAGAATGTGTTCATATGCAGAAGAATGAAATTGGACCCTTACCTTTCACTATATACAAAAATTAACTCAAGATGGATTAAAGATTTAAACATAAGACTTCAAACTATAAAAATCCTAGAAGAAAACCTAGGAAATACTTTTTTTTGATATCAGCCTTGGCTAATTTTTGGCTAAGTCCCCAAAAGCAATTGCAGAAAACCCAAAAATTGACAACCTAGAGAACTGGAGAAAATATAGTGGGGATAGATAAGTTAATATGTGTAACTTGCTTAGAAAAGCACCTGTCACTTGGGAAATGCTGTATACAATTAGCCATGACCAGTAAATTTTGGAAAAGAATAGCTTTTATTTTATTGTCTAAAGGGATTGGATATTTCAACAGGATACTGTATAGATTATGCAGTGAAGGAAAATACTTTGTTAGAAATCAGCAAAGAAGTAAAAATAGAAAAGAAACAGTCGAACCAAGCTTTTATGAATATTTATGTACCTAAAACTAATTTCTGTTGCTTTCACTAACAGAGGATGTTTTGAATGAGCAACTATTTCTTCTACCCAATTCATTTTCTCCAAAGATTATAGCTTTGTTTATGATAAAGTCTGAGATTTTTTATTTTTTTGGTAAGGAATCTGTCTGCCTACAGCTCGTTGGATTTTCTTAATGTATGTGTTTTGTTCAGCTAAAATAGTATCTCTTTTTACTTATTTTACCTGGAATATTTATAATCCTGTTTTAGATTTGCATAGGCTTTTTTCCAACTTAGATATTTTTTTCTTAGACTATGTGTTTTAGTATTCCTTCTATTCCAAATATTCATATTTCTCACTCTTCTCAATCTTCCTCAGAATGATGACTTTTTTCAGTTTTTTCCCTGGTCCTTTTAATTTGCCTTTAATAAGCAATAGTTTTTCATGTTATTTTTCTGATTTATGTATTTAGCTTTCCTTGGTTCATTGCAAATTTAAATTTAATATTGTATTATTAGTTTCCTTTTTGATTCTTCCTTATCTTTACTCTTCTCCTTTTAATTTTCTTATTTTCATTTCAGCTTATCTTTATTAACTTTCTGTTCATATTTCATTGAAATCATCATGTCTTCCTGTGTTTGAGGTAGCTGTCAAAAATGTAGTTATTAATTTGAACGTCTTTTCTAAATAATGTAGTTACATTGATTCTAATTATAAATAATGATTTTTCTCTTTCTTTTTTTTTTTACTGCAGAAAAAATTTATAGGCATAATCCCCCCTCCCCCCGCCCACACACAGACACACATTTAAATAAGTAAATGTCTATCCAGATTTGGCATTGCCAATAAACGGAAACCGCGGGCCATAGATTGTTTTTGGCCCCACTTTTTATTTACTTAAGAATTATGGTCACACTGAACTATCTAAACAGATGTGCATGGCTCCAAGCCAGTTACCATTGTGAATGGTAGTGTGTGTGTGTGTGTGTGTGTGTGTGTGTGTGTGTTTCCCCAGCTGAGATCTGCTAGAGCCTCTCCTACCCTCATGATCTGATTACCCATCACTGTGATTGTATGGTGCACATGAAAATGTTTAGTCTTGTTTATTCTCTTGCCTTCTTGCCTCTGCTAATACCTAGAGCACTTGACCTCAAAGAGATATATTTACCAGCACTCATTACCCGAATACAAATAAAAAGAGAAATACTGATGGGAAATACAGATGAGGGGACCCAAAATGCTGGACTTTGAAAACACAGCCCTAAGAGTATTGACACCGCTGGCCAATATATTAATTAACCTGAGTATTGAGTGAGTAAGAAATGCAAGATCAATTGACTTTTACATGGACAGCATATGATATTTCTGGCAGCATATAAAAGATGAGTCACCATTTGATTTAAGTTGATCTTGTCATTTGAAATTCTTTCCATATTATGAAAATACATTGCATGAAAATCTTACCTAATAGGGGTTTAGTGTGTGTCTGTATACTGATGTTATTGCTATTTTTGTCTATATATGTATTTTCAATGAAAAATAGAAGAGTCTGTGTTGGTGATTGATCATCAGATACCATATTAAATCAGAAATAGAGACTTTCATTTTAAGCAGGATAACAGGACTGCCACTACTCATATAAACATTATAGTGAGTCCTGCTCACTATAAATATTTACCTGATCTGCATGAATGGAAGGTCTTCATTTATCCTGTTATTCAGTTTAATTTAACAGATTTAATTTTTCACTTTGTCTTGTTTTGGCGCAGAGAGGAGGCGATAACTATAGTGAACTGTCTTTGCTTCATTAAGCATATTTACTTATCACTTATGACTTTCTTGTTTAAAAAGCAGCCATGCAGAGCACAGGGCTGTATTAACTATCATAAAGGAAGAATTAAAAAAGTGCTTGCAAGAAACTATGTTCCGTCTTCTTTGACATGGTTTCAGTATCTACTGTTCTTGCTTCAGCTTTCCACATATAGGAATTTCTATGTAGTATGGAAAAAGGAAGAATAGCATTCCAGTTATTTTTGGCTAGTATGTAACTTAATTGCATACCAGCTGAAAAAAAAAAACACGTGATTTCTGAATACCTTCTATAGCTATTCTGCTTCTTTCCTAGAAGGAGAAGGAGGAGGAAGGGGAGGAGAAAGACGAAGAGATGGAGGAAAACTGAAAATGGTTGCCTTGCTCTTCCTGCTTCCACCTCAAACCCTAAAATGACAGTTCTACAGATGAGTAAGTCTTGGTACAAATGAGCCTCTGCATTACAGAATAAGAATCCTATGATAAATTTGAATGGAAAATGACTTACATATTTTCACTTATTTTACATTCAAAAAGAATACAATTTGTTTTGTATTATTTGATATGTGTAAAGAAATCTGTTTTTGTAAATCCACAAAGATCCTTTGTAAATCCCTATGCAAACCTTCACTGTTGTCTCATTTCCGTATTTTTTATTTTTATTTTTATATATATTTTTTATTATACTTTAAGTTCTAGGGTACATGTGCACAACGTGCAGGTTTGTTACATATGTATACATGTGCCATGTTGGTGTGCTGCACCCATCAACTCGTCATTTACATTAGGTATATCTCCTAATGCTATCCCTCGCCCCACCCCCCACCCCACAACAGGCCATGGTGTGTGATGTTCCCCTTCCTGTGTCCAAGTGTTCTCATTGTTCGATTCCCACCTATGAGTGAGAACATGCGGTGTTTGGTTTTTTGTCCTTGCAATAGTTTGCTGAGAATGATGGTTTCCAGCTTCATCCATGTCCCTACAAAGGACATGAACTCATCCTTTTTTATGGCTGCATAGTATTCCATGGTGTATATGTGCCACATTTTCTTAATCCAGTCTATCATTGTTGGACATTTGGCTTGGTTCCAAGTCTTTGCTATTGTGAATAGTGCCACAATAAACATACATGTGCATGTGTCTTTATAGCAGCAGGATTTATATTCGTTTGGGTATATACCCAGTAATGGGATGGCTGGGTCAAATGGTATTTCTAGTTCTAGATCCCTGAGGAATCGTCACACTGACTTCCACAATGGTTGAACTACTTTACAGACCCACCAACAGTGTAAAAGTGTTCCTATTTCTCCACAACCTCTCCAGCACCTGTTGCTTCCTGACTTTTGAATGATCGCCATTCTAACTGGTGTGAGATGGTATCTCATTGTGGTTTTGATTTGCATTTCTCTGATGGCCAGTGATGATGAGCATTTTTTCGTGTGTCTGTTGGCTGCATAAATGTCTTCTTTTGAGAAGTGTCTATTCATATCCTTTGCCCACTTTTTAATGGGGTTGTTTTTTTCTTGTAAATTTGTTTGAGTTCTTTGTGGATTCTGGATATTAGTCCTTTGTCAGATGAGTAGATTGAAAAAATTTTCTCCCATTCTGTAGGTTGCCTGTTCACTCTGATGGCAGTTTCTTTTGCTGTGCAGAAGCTCTTTAGTTTAATTCGATCCCATTTGTTAATTTTGGCTTGTGTTGCCATTGCTTTTGGTGTTTTAGACATGAAGTCCTTGCCCATGCCTATGTCCTGAATGGTATTGCCTAGGTTTTCTTCTAGGGGTTTTATGGTTTAGGTCTAACATTTAAGTCTTTAATCCATCTTGAGTTAATTTTTGTATAAGGTGTAAGGAAGGAATCCAGTTTCAGCTTTCTACATATGGCTAGCCAGTTTTCCCAGCTCCATTTGTTAAATAGGGAATCCTTTCCCCATTTCTTGTTTTTGTCAGGTTTGTCAAAGATCAGATAGTTGTAGGTGTGTGGTATTATTTCTGAGAGCATTCCACGCTCATGGATAGGAAGAATCAATATCGTGAAAATGGACATACTGCCCAAGGTAATTTATAGATTTAATGCCATTCCCATCAAGCTACCAATGACTTTCTTCATAGAATTGGAAAAAACTACTTCAAAGTTCATATGGAACCAAAAAAGAGCCCTCATTGCCAAGTCAATCCTAAGCCAAAAGAACAAAGCTGGAGGCATCACGCTACCTGACTTCAAACTATACTACAAGCCTACAGTAACCAAAACAGCATGGTACTGGTACCAAAACAGAGATATAGACCAATGGAACAGATCATTTCCGTGTTTTTTTTATTTGCTTGGCTCAGAAGCACATCTTGCCTTTTCCTATACAAAGGTGCTAGTGCATGAAGACTCTCTAAAGACAAATCATTAATGAATCACATGAATAAATTTGATTGGAAGAAATTCTATTTCTTTCCTTGCTTTCCAATACTGATTGATGGAAGCTATAAGATGTGCACATGCTAACTACAGATATTTTGCAAAGGCTGTGCATTAGACATGACTCATGTATATGCTGAGTAGTGTAGGCTGAGAAAATTTGGAACAGTGCATTTTTCTTTTTTTTTTCTTTTTCTGTTTTGTTTAATTGTATCATACATATTTAAAGCATATAATATGTCTTTACCTTTGAAAAATGCACTACTATATTATAGCGCATATTTTTCAAAGGTAAAGAGCTTGAGCTTAGTAATTTAAATCACATTACATGATATCTAATATCACGTGTATTTTTCTTATATCCATGGGCACTATGTAAAATTTAAAAAATGAAGGGAGTATGAAAAAGGGTATCAGGATTGAATTACACCAGGGAAATAGAGATATTTCAATCTTCACAACTAATTTTCAAACGGTTCTTTTGTGCTAGAAATTGTGCCTGACCCAGAGTAGATGAAAGTTACCAAAATAAACAACCTTTTGAGGGAAACAAATATAAAAAAAAAATCCCACCAAATACCTTCAATTAGTACTACAATGAATGTTGTAAAGCAAAATATAGGATATTTAGGCAGGCTATATCAAAGAAAACTCATCTAGGACATCTAATGCTTACTTCTGAGGTAGTGCATTAATTTAAAGTGAGAAGTAAAAGAAGAGATGGGAGTTACAGTGAGCATCTTAATGAGAAGGTATGATGGTGAGTGTAAGAAGACTCTGAGGTGGGAAAGAGTCCCAGTACATTTGAATGAAGTGCTTGATAGCTGTGTTAGTCAGTGTTCTTCAGAGAAATAGAACCAACAGGAAATATACATATAGATATATAAGATTTATTACGGGAATTGACTTATGCAATTATGGAGGCCAAGAAGTCCCACAGTATGTCACCTGGCAAGCTGGAGAAACAGGAAACCTGACTGTATGATTTAGTCTCAGTTAGAATGCCTGAGAACTAGGGGAGTTAATGGAGAAACTCCCAGTCTGATGCTGAAGGCACAAGAATTGAGGAAGAGGTGGGGGAGGAAGGGTTAAGTCTCAGAGTCAGAACGCATGAAAACCAGGAGCTCCAATGAGGAAGGGAAAAGAGAAAATGGATGTTCCAGCTCAAGGAGAGAGAGAGTAATTTGACTTTCCTACACCTTTTGGTTCTATCCAAGCCTTGATGGATTGTATGATACTCACCTACATTGTTTAGGGCAGATCTTCTTTACTCAGTCTACTGATTCAAATATTAATCTTTTCCAGAAACACCTTCACAGTCACACCCGGAAATAATGTTTTACCCACTATCTGGGCATCATTTAACTCAGTCAAATTGTTACATGAAACTAAGCATCACAATGGAAGTATGGTGAAAAATGAGATTTATATCTCGGGGAGGACCTAGCTTATACTTAATCTTCTGGTTATGTTAAGGCTTTTATTATTATTATACTTTAAGTTCTAGGGTACATGTGCACAACGTGCGGGTTTGTTACATATGTATACATGTGCCGTGTTGGTGTGCTGCACCCACCAACTCGTCATTTACATTAGGTATTTCTCCTAATGCTATCCCTCCCTCCATCCCCAGACAGGCCCTGGTGTGTGATGTTCCCCTTCCTGTGTCCAAGTGTTCTCATTGTTCAATTCCCACCTATGAGTGAGAACATGCGGTGTTTGGTTTTTTGTCCTTGTGATAGGTTGCTGAGAATGATGGTTTCCAGCTTCATCCATGTCCCTACAAAGGACATGAACTCATGCTTTTTTGTGGCTGCATAGTATTCCACAGTGTATATGTGCCACATTTTCTTAAGGCTTTTGAACAAACCTAAGAGCAATGGATTCTGCTGCAGGTAAAGAGGAGTTGAAAATGAGGTATAGCTAGAATCATGAACATACATAGGGAAGTTAGAAATTTATTAATGTAATTTTAATCAAGAGATGATGACTTGTACTTAGTTGGTGACAATAAGAGGGAAAACATAAATTAAAAAGCTGATAACAGGAAGATATAAAACTTTGGTCTTAAAACTGTTTCATTTTCTCCTATAAATGTAGAATTGTTGATTTTGTTAAAGGTCAGGCGTCCTAGTTATCATCTGATTCTGCCTCCTCATTTTACAGATAAAAACAGAGTTTTCCAGTTCATACAAGAGTCTGGGGACAGGGGATAGAAAAAAATGGAGGAAGGAGGCAGGACTAACTTGCAGCTCCAACTTGATGGACAGAGCATCATGTGGAGACTTACATTGTGACCTTTTGCAGGAACATACCAGGGAAGCTGAGAGAATCCACAAACCCTTTGAAGGAAGTGGCTTGCTGCTGCAGAGTGGGACAGCAGAGGAACTGTGAGTCGGCTTGCTTTCTCAGCTGGGAGGCTTGTAGCCTGAGGCAAGTTCTCAGCCCTGCTCACTGGCTGCCTGGAAATAAACCAGGTGCTGTTGGAGGGGCAAGATGGGAGTGAGACAGGCCTTTCAGGCTGTGGGCTATGTGGGAGCGGGTGAGGCCTATGGCTACTGGCTTTCCCCCACTTCCCTGGTGACCTGTGTGATGCAGTAAAGGCAGCCATAATCCCCCTGGGAACACAACTCTATTGGCATGGGAACCACACTTCCATCCTCCACAGAAGCCACAGCAAGTCCCCCCGAGAGTCTGAGCTCAGACACACCTAACCCTGTCCTCACCTGTTGATCTTTCTCTGCCTACCCTCGTGGCCGAAGACAAAGGACTTAATCTCTTGGGAGCTCTGTGGCCCCACCCACTGCCTGATCCTCTTTATATTACCACAGCTGATATGCTTTTGAAACTGCCACCTCCTGGCTGGAGGCCAACTAACAGAAGACCAGTGCACCAAACAAAAATACAACCAAGGACCCTCACAGAGTCCACTTCACCCCACTGCTACCTCCACCAAAGCAACTGCTGGTATCCACAGCTCAGAGACCTGAAGATGGATCACATCACAAGACTCTTTGCAGACACTCCCCAGTACCAGCCCATAACCAAGTAGGTCCATTGGGTGGCTAGATCCAGAAGACAAATAAAAATCACTGCAGTTCAGCTCTCAGGAAGCCCCATCCCTAGGAGAAGGGAGAGAGCATCACATCAAGGGAGAACCCCATGGGACAAAAGAATCTGAACAGCAGTCCTTGAGTCCCAGATATTCCTTCCGACATAGTCCACGCAAATGAGAAGGAACCAGAACAACAATTATTCTAATATGACAAACAAGGTTCTTTAACACCCCCAAAAGATCATACTAGCTCACCAGCAATGGCTCCAAACCAAGACAAAAATCTCTGAATTGCCAGAAAAAGTATTCAAGCTGATGATTAAGCTAATCAAGGAGGCACCAGAGAAAGGTGAAGTCCAACTTAAAGCAATGAAAAAAATGATATAGGATATGAATGGAAAATCTCCAGTGAAACAGATAGCATAAATAAAAAATCACAACTTCTGGAAATCAAGGACACACTTAGAGAAATGCAAAATGCACTGGAAAGTCTCAGCAATAGAATCAAACAAGTAGAAGAAAGAACTTCAGAGCTCAAAGACAAGGTTTTCAAATTAAACCAATCCAAAAAAAAGACAAAAAAATTAAAAAGTTGAACAAAACCTCCAAGAAATTGGGATTATGACCAAATGACCAAATCTACAAATAATTGGTATTCCCAAGGAAGAAGGTAAATCTAAAAGTTTGAAAAACATGTTTGCGGGAATAATCAGTGAAAACTCCTGGCCTTGCTAGAGATCTAGACTAAATGCAAGAGGCTCAAAGAACATCTGGGAAATTTATCACAAAAAGATAATTGCCTAGGCATGTAGTCATCAGGTTAACTAAAGTCAAGACGAAGGAAAGAATCTTAAGAGCTGTGAGGCAAAAGCATCAAGTAACTTATTAAGGAAAACCTATCAGATTAACAGCAGATTTCTCAGCAGAAATCCTACAAGCTAGGAGTGATTGGGGTCCTATCTTTATCCTCCTTAAAACAATTGTCAGCCAGTTTTAACTGACAATTGTCAGCCACTGGATACAATTTTGTATCCAGTGAAACTAAGCTTCATAAATGATGGAAAGATACAGTCTTTTTCAGACAAACAAATCCTGAGAGAATTTGCCACTACCAAGCTAGCACTATAAGAACTGCTAAAAGCAGCTCTAAATCTTGAAACAAATCCTAGAAATACACCAAAATAGAATCTCCTTAAAGCATAAATCTCACAGGACCTATTCAGGCAACAAATAGCATGATGAATAGAATAGTACCGCACATCTCAATACTAACATTGAATGTAAATGGCCTAAATGCTTCACTTAAAAGATACAGAATGGCAGAAGGGATAAGAATTCACCAACCAAGTATCTGCTGTCTTCAAGACTTCCCTGATACATAAGGACTCACATAAACCTAAGGTAAAGGGGTGGAAAAAGATATTCCATGCAAACAGACACCAAAAGCAAGCAGAAGTAGCTATTCTTACATCAGACAAAACAAACTTTAAAGCAACAGCAGTTAAAAAAGTCAAAGAGGAATATCATATATTGATAAAATATATCAATTTTCCTATTGGACTAGTAAAATAGGACAGTAACACAATAATAGCAGGGGACTTCAGTACTCCACTGATAGCACCAGACAGGTCATCAAGACAAAGTCAACAAAGAAACAATGGACTTAAACTATACCCTAGAACAAATGGACTTAACAGATATTTACAGAACATTCTACCCAACAACTTCAGAATATACATTCTATTCATCAA
The DNA here is from genome assembly GCF_000001405.40 of Homo sapiens. Taxonomy (NCBI): domain Eukaryota; kingdom Metazoa; phylum Chordata; class Mammalia; order Primates; family Hominidae; genus Homo; species Homo sapiens. The sequence goes on from NC_000013.11 coordinate 76,274,394, forward strand.
CACATGGAACATTCTTCAAGATAGACAATATCATAGGCACAAAACAGGTCTCAACAAATTTAAGAAAATCGAAATTATATCAAGTACTCTCTCAGATCACAATGGAATAAAATTGGAAATCAACTCGAAAAGGAACCCTCAAAACTATGCAAATACTTGGAAATTAAATAACCTGTTCCTGAATTATCATTGGGTCAACAATGAAATCAATTTGAAAATTAAAAAAAAATTATTTGAACAGAATAATAGGGACAAAACCTATAAAAAACATCTGGGATACAGCAAAAGCAGTGCCAAGAAGAAAGTTCATAGCATTAAATGCCTACATCAAAAAGTCTGAAAGAGCACAAATAGTCTAAAGTCACACCTCAAGGAACTAGAGAAATAAGAACAAACCAAACGCAAATCCAGCAGAAGAAAAGAAATAACTAAGATCAGAGCTGAACTAAATGAAATTGAAAAAAATACAAAAGATAAATGAAATGAAAAGCTAGTTATTGAAAAGATACATAAACTTGATAAATCATTAGTGAAATTAACAAGAAAAAAGAGAGGGTCCAAATAATCTCAATTAGAAATGAAACAGTTGATATTAAAACCAATACAATGGCAATACAAACGATCATTTAAGGCTACTATGAATACCTTTACACGCATTAACTAGAAAACGTAGAGGAGATGGATAAATTCTTGGAAATATACAACTCTCCTAGATTAAACCAGGAAGAAATAGAGACTCTGAACAAACCAATAACAAGCGGCAAGATTGAAATGGTAATTTAAAACTTGCCAACAATAAAAAACTCCAGTACCAGATGGATTCATAGCTGAATTCTATCAGACATTCAAAGATGAATTGGTACCAATCCTATCGACAGTATTCCAAAAGAGAAAGAGGGAATCCTCCCTAGAACTTTCTGTGAAGCCACTGTCACCCTAATACTAAAACCAGGATAGGATATAAGAAAGAAAACTACAGACCAGTATCCCTGATGAACATTGATATACAAATCCTCAACAAAATACTAGCTAACTGAATCCAACAGTATATCAAAAAGATAATCCACCATGATCAACTGGGTTTCATACCAGGGATGTGGGGATGGTTTAACATACACGAGTCAATAAATGTGGTACACCACAGAAACGGAATTAAAAACAAAAATCACATGATCATCTCAATAGGTACAGAAAAAGCATTTGACAAAATTCAGCATCACTTTATGATTAAAACCCTCAGCAAAATTGGCATAGAAGGGACATATCTTAAGAGTAAACAGACAACCCAGAGAGTGAGAGAAAATTATAGCAATCTGTGCTTCTGACAAAGGACTAATATCCAGAATCTACAAGGGACTCATACAAATTAGCAAGAAAAGAAGCAATCCCATCAAAAAGTGGGCTAAGGACATGAATAGACAATACAAATAATATACAAGTGGCCAACAAAAATATTAAAAAATATTAAACATCATGATTGATCAAGGAAATGCAAATCAAAACCACAATGTGATAGCAAGAGTGGCCATAATAAAAAAATAGATGCTGGTGTGGATGTGGTGAAAAGGGAACACTTTTACACTGTTGGTTGGAATGGAAACTAGTACATCCACTATGGAAAACAGTGTGGAGATTTCTTAAGTAACTAAAAGTAGATCTACCATTTGATCCAGCAATCCTACTCCTGGGTATCTACCCAGAGCAAAAGAAGTCATTATACAAAAAAGGTACTTGCACACACGTTCATAGCAGTACAATTCACAATTGCAAAAATGTGGAATGAGCCCAAATGCCCATCAATCAACAAGCAGATAAAGAAAATGTGATATGTATATTTTATATATATATATATATATATATATATATATATATATATATATATATATGATGGAATACTACTCAGCCATAAAAGGAATGAAATAATGGCATTTGCAGCAACGTCTATGGAATTGGAGACCATTAGTCTAACTGAAACAACTCAGGAATGGAAAACCAAACATCGTATGTTCTCACTCATAAGTAGGAGCTAAGCTATGGGGACGTGAAGGCATGAGAATGATAAAATGGACTTTGGGGACTCTGGGAAAAGGGTGGGTGTAGTGAGGGATAAGACTACATATTGGGTACAGTGTACACTGCTTGGGTGATGGGTGCACTAAAATATCAGAAATCCCCACTAAATAACTTATTCATGTAATCAAATACCACCTGTTCCCCAAAAACCTATTGAAATAAGTAAATAAATAAATAAAAGAAATTTTAAAACAAAAACAAAGAGTTTGGGAACAGAATTGGGAACAAAATCTAGAATCTATGAAGTGTTTATTTTTATATAATATTTATTATTACAGAATTATAATTCTAAAGGCATTCTAGTATTTAACTTTATATGAATTATATAAAATTGTTGTTTTATATGAACTATATAAAATACTTGTGTTTTATATGAACTATATAAAATGTATTATATATGAATTATATAGTTGTATTTTATATGAACTATATAAAATAGTTATGTTTTATATGAATTAATATAAAATAGCTATATTTTATATAAATATTAGGAGCATTTATGAAGCACTGAAGTAGACATGAGTATTTTTGGATGCTCTACTGCAGAGAAGGCAGGATTTTAATATTCTGGTAGTGTTTTCACCGTGACAGGTTGCCTCAAATCAAAGATGAAATCTTAGGACTCAGAATCTCAGGCTTTGGGGGAATCAAGATGTCAGTGTTAAAATGCTCATCTTCTACTGCTTACGCTTCCATTATCACAAACAGGTTGAATTTAAGGACCGTAGGAGCACGCATTTACTAAATTTTCTTCTAATGTACCTGCCAGAGAGATGACTGGAGGATTTTAGGATCCATTTTGATACTCACTTTCTTTATCTGCATTCTAAAATTTAATTAGCCAACATATCTGCTGAATCGATGTGGCGAAATTCAAGACTTGGGCCACTTGATTTTGACTTTTGGAAAGAGTCTCTGGGAGTAAGCAGTGTTAGAAGCAGATGCATTTTACTTGAATTTCTCTCTTACCTCCAGAAACAAGCCTCGGTAAATAGAAATACAATTCAAGAAATGTGCTGAATAATGGTAAATGTGGATCAAACTATCACCTGCCAAGAAAGACCTTGTAATTAAATTAGTAGAAGCGACAGAATTTGTGGAACTTAAATTTAACAATTTCTGTGTGCTCAGTTTGCCAAACTCAGCACTCTGCTTGGGCATCTTACTTATTGGTCTTCGACCTAGGATGGTAGCATAAAAATTACCTCATCATTCAATTTGAAAAATCTGATTGACCTATCCATTTAGGTAGGATGACTCCTGCCTTAGAATTAACCATGGATAGCCCTTCTAGATAAGTTTTGACTGGGGTAGCACCTTTAACTCATATATTTCTCATACCACATTTAATTTCAAGGTATTTTGATGGGGGCAAAAGGATTCAGATCATATGTGTGACTAAATTTTTAAAAGGCTAAACATTGCCACAGGACTGTGACACTAGAGACACTAAGAGCAAAACAGAAATTACAGACTTACACTTCAAATATCTTCTCCTACAGCTCTGTATTTTATAACGGGTCAGGCTCTCTGGTGTGAATGGGTCCTGGCTCCACCCTGCCTAGTCAGTGTCATTTGTAATGGCCCAACATCCTTAACAACTTGCATACTTGTGGAACACAATTGCAGTGTCTAGTAGGGGCAGCAGTGTTGCTGACCTGGTTACCAACAGTTATTGAGATTTGATTCAACAGTGGATATGTGGGCTGGTAAGTGCAATATAGATGGCAGGACACGATCTAGGCAGCTAGAAGGCAAGTCTGTGAACATTCTACCTTCTCCATTGGCCCAACCTGAAACTTGTACAGTAGCCAATGGTGAATATACTATTGATAGTATTTCATACTTTGAGAGATCTACAACTGTTTTCAATCTTTGGTTTATCTTTGGTGAAGAGGTTAGAATAGTCACATCTCCATTTCTTTTGTTGAGTGTTTTGATTTCAGAGACTGAGTTCAAATGTAAACATGGAAATAGATTGACTACTTAGGCTGAGATAAGCGATCTTACATTTTTTGGCAGAGATCCTCTAGTGTCCTGGGTAATCCATTAGTGCAATACCAGGAAATGCTTCTCGGGGTAGAACTTAGAAAGGACTTAAATCCACAGGCAATAAGGGAATGTGACCCAACTTCGCTGTTATCATCTATGTCTAACAATCCAGATAAATACAGTTCCGGTATGGCCATACAGTGGATCTTCCAAGATTGGGGCTGAGCACAGGGCTTATCATTGTGGTGCTAGCAGTTTCCCTGACTCTGACACCTCAGGGCAACCAAAAAGAGATAACTTCCCATTTTCGCACTACTACCTATCCCTCTCCACTGAGCAGGATAAAGGAAGAAGTAGATGTAATCAAAGCACTTTTGGAAAGGTTGGAAATTTGTTAGGGTTTGACAGTGTAACTATAGGCATTCAATTCCCCAAATGTTTATGGTTTTTGTATATATGTTATTTTACATATATGTTATGTTACGTTTATATTATATGTCATGTATATGTTATTTTTCTCCAACTTTTACAGATCACTTTTATCCAGGACCACTAAGAAATAAATTTATTAGAGGCCAGGTGCAGTGGCTCACACCTGTAATCAGCACTTTGGGAGGCTGAGGCAGGTGGAAAACTTGAGGCCAGGTGTTAGAGACCAGCCTGGCCAACATGGTGAACCCCTGTCTCTACTAAAAATTCAAAAATTAGCCTGGTGTGGTGACACACACCTTAATCCCAACTACTCAGGAGGCTGTGTAAGGAGAATTGCCTGAACCTGGGAGGCAGAGGTAGGAGTGAGCCAAGGTCACACCATGCCACTCCAGTCTGAGCAACAGAGCAAGACTCTACTCGGTCAAAGAGAGAGAAAGAAAGAGGGAGGGAAGGAAAGAAATGTATTAGAGAACAAGAGGGAAGCACCCTGTACAGAGTATTATAGGGAAAAGAACAAGAGGGCATAAAGGCCTGAGTCTACACAGACCAACACCTTGACCCAGGACAAAACCATTTACATACTGATATCTTAGTGTCTCCATCTGCTAAATGTTTCAGCTGGCCAACAGTAGCAGCCATTAATACCTTTAAAAATAGGTAATTCTATATTCGTGGCTTTGTTTTTCAACCAGCTTATTTTCTTTCTTGGAGACATTAATCATGGTTTTTAAGAATTTATTTCATAGTATTGTATAATGAGCCTCTGCACAACAAAGAAACTATCAACAGAGTAAACAATTTATGGAATGGGAGAAAATTTTTACAAACTATGCATTCAACAATGGACAGTATCCAAAATCCATAAGGAATTCAGACAAATAAGAAAACAACCCAAATAACCTCATAGGCAATGGACATGAACAGACACTTCTCAAAAGAAGACATACAAGCAAGCAGCCAACAAACGTGAAAAAATGCTCAACATGGTTAATCATCAGAGAGATGCAAATCAAAACCACAATGAGATACCATCTCACACCAGTCAGAATGGCTATTATTAAAAAGTCAAAATATGCAGATGTTGGTGAAGTTGAAAATAAAAGGGAACACTTTATACACTGTTGGTGGGAATGCAAATTAGTTCAGCTGCTGTGGAAAGCAGTCTGGAGATTTCTCAAAGAACTAAAAATAGAATTACCATTCAACCTAGTCATCCCATTACTGGGTATACAACCAAAGGAAAATAAATCATTCTACCAAAAAGACACATGTACTCATGTAGTCATTGCAGCATTATTCACAATAGCAAAGACATGGAATCCACCTAGGTGCCCATCAGTGATGGACTGGATAAAGAAAATGTGCTACATATACACCACGGAATACTATGCAGCCATAAAAAAGAATAAAATCATGGTCTTTGCAGCAACATGGATGCAGCTGAAGGTCACCATCCTAAGCGAATTAATGCAGAAACAGAAAGCCAAATAGCACATGTTCTTACTTACAAGTGGGAGTCAATCACTGGGCACACAGGGACACAGATGGGAAAATAGACACCAGAGCTTCCAAAAGAGGGAGAGAAAGAGGGGGCCAAAGGTTGAAAATCTACCCATCAAGTACTATGTTTGCAACTTGGGTGAACAGATCACTAGAAACCCAAACCTCAGCATCATGTAATATACCCATATAACAAACCTGCACATGTACTCCCTGAATCTAAATATATGAAAGGAAAAAACAGTACAGCAGCAGTAAATACTAAGATGTGCCACCTAGATTCTCCTTCAGGAATAAAGTACATATCGCCGCAGTTTCTGAGTGTGCCACTGGCATCCAGACCTCAGCTATCAGCCCTCTTCTGAATTGCCTCTGCTGAGGAGTGCTATCTTGCCCAAGGTCATAACTACTGGACATAAGAATGTAAAGGCTCTGTCTTCTCCTTTAATTCTTAAAAACTGTTAAGGACCACCCTTGATTCAATATGGTTGGCTAACGGCCTTCGTTGTGACTGCATCACAGCCCAACATCTTCCTCTGCCAAATCCTGCCTCTTTCTCTTCATTTCCACAGGTGTTGATCCCAAGAGTGCTTCCTAAGAATCCTCCTCCATGTTAACTTTCATCCTAGAGTCTGCTTCACTGATTGCCCAACTTGCAACAGAAAGTAGTAATATCTCTGCTTTTGTATTGTTTCATGCACTACTCATCTAAGGTTCTAGGACAGTGTTCTCTCTCGTTTCCAATAATAAAATTCTTCTGATTGTCCTGGGGAGTATTTTTGATGTGCATTTTATAGTCTCTCATGCAGCAAAAACCCAAGTGAAATAGCTATCTACACTTTGTAGATTCATTAAATGCATTGGATACACAACGAAATTGAGCTTCTTATTTATGGTTTCCTTCAATAAATGTGGTTTTAAAAATTCCTTGTTTGTGAATAATTTAAGTTCACTGAAAGGAGTTTGACGGGTTATTTAAATTGAACGTTGTGGAGAAATAGTATTATTTTAATTGCTAGATGTTTTAGCCATTCTGTGAAATCTCTTTATTCATGGAAATAGCATAATTTTTTATTTTGAAAAAGTGTATTTCAGCCTGCGAAACATGGTGAAACCTTGTCTCTACAAAATATAGAAAAATTAGCCAGGCATGGTGGAGCCCCTGTCATCCCAGCTACTTGGGGGGCTAAGGCAGGAAGATCACTTGCACCCAGGAGGTTGAGGCTACAGTGAGCCGTGTTCCCACCACTTCACTCCAGTCTGGGTAACCAAGTGAGAGAGCCTGTCTCAAAAAAAAAAAAAAAATTAAGTGCATTATTAAAAAGAAAGCTATTTCACTATTTTTACTTCAAAAAGAGGATCTGAAAAGAGAATGATAGACATTGTCAAATAACGTTGGCTTACAATATTCAACATTAAGTGAAAAGTGTGTAAAAAAACTGCAAAAAGATGGATGCTACACAGAAGAGTTATTTCCCATCGAAAGTCTCTAAAGAACACTTTAGGGATAACTTAATGATATCTCAATATGAGAAAAGGAAAAAAAATGGGCCATTGAGACATTCATTGTGAAAAACATCAAATATTTTTATAAATAATATTTACCTATCATTTTAATTTTATGTAACAAAAAATACAAATTTAGTATTATCTAAACTAGGGATGGGGTAGTTTTATTTTAACGCAAACATTAATATTGAGGCAGCTCACCCCACCAACCTGATTTCTGGAAGTCTGATATAATCATTTGGTATCAAATCTACTTATCTCAGTGGTCTCGGGAACAGGGCAATTGTACTCAGGAATTGATGAATTACAGGGAAACGTAAGGATCAAAGAAGCACAAACAAGACCAACTTCATGGCCCACCTGCATTATTTTGTTGCAGTGAAATTTTGCATAGAAAACATGTTGCCCTGTATCACATTCCTAGGTTTCAGGAGCTTATGAATATGTATTATAAACCAAATGAAGAAATAAATCATCTAAACATAAACAGAAAAAGATAATGGAAACTAATATGCATTGCTTATCTGGCACAGTTCTAGATACTTTTCCCTTAATTAATATCCATAGACCCCATAAGAGGCTTAAATTATTAAGCGTACTTTGCAAAGAAATTAGTAACTTAGCCAACATCATACAGTTAATAAAAGAAGGAGTCAAGATTCAAAGCAAGATCAGTGAGGCTCCAAAGTCCATTTACATTTGTTTGTTTGTTTGTTTGTTAATTTTTTATTTCCATAGGTTTTTGGAGAACAAGTGGTATTTGGTTACATGAGTAACTTATTTAGTGGAGATTTGTGAGATTTTGGTGCACCCATTATCACTCGAGCAGTATATACTGAACCCAATTTGTAGTCTTTTATCCTTCACCCCCATTTGGATTCTTACCATCACACAAGTAGGAATGATTATGTGCACCTGTGTACTATCCTGGGGTCTCCATGCCCCTCATAATCTTTCTCCTCTTTCTTGTTCAGCCCTTCCCTGCTACTTTTTGTGTATCTCATTTGTTTGCTTATTTAATGAAGGCAAGGTATCTTAACTCCTTATGAATAACAAGAATGTTTGAGGTAAGAAAGATGTGTAAGTTAATTGCTTCTTATTGTGAGAACAATACAGGTTGAGTATCCCTTATCCAAAATAGTTGGGACCAGAATTGTTTTGGGTTTCATTTATTTTCGGATTTTGGAATATTTGCATAAACACAATGAGGTCTCTTGGGGATGGGACCTAAGTTCATTTAAGTTTTATATACACTTCGTACACATAGTCTGAAGGTAAGTTTATACAATATTTTAAATAATTGTATGTGTTAAAACAAAGTTTTTGCTATGTTTTGACTGTGACCTGTCACATGAGGTCAGGTGTGGTGCATTTCAAATTTGGGATTTTCAGATTAGGAATGCTTAACCTGTAGTGCTATTACAAAAATTTAACTTCAACTCATCTAAGCTCCTCTGTCTTTTTCAAATAGCCAATAATTGAGTTGTAGAGGACTATGTAAATTACAATAAGCAAAAGTTGAACTCATTACATACGCTTGGTGTGCTTGTATAAATAAACCTATCACAAATAAAGTCATTTACCATATTTCTGGGATGACTATTATGAAAAATGTGTGCAGTTTTCAAGAGACTTAAAATTATTTTTAACAATCCAAAAGAAAAAAAAATGTGATGCATATAGGTCAATGGTTATTAGCCATGGTGAAGTTGTCCCCTATGGGACAGTTGGCAATGTCTGGAGACATTTTTGGTTCTTACAGTTCTATAGGGTGCTATCAGTACCCAATCCACAGCATCTAGGGCTGCTGTTATATATCTTACCATGCACAGGACAGCACTCCTCTGCCCCACAACAAAAACTTATTTAGCCCAAAATGTCAATAGTGGTGTTATTGAGAAATGCTGTTCTAGGTGACATGCAAGTTTTAAGAAATGGGATCGATCTTTCTCTTGTCATAAAATCAAAAATTATGGAATATTTATTTTCCTGCCTCAATCTGTTATACCTTTAATAGTTATTTTATCATGAATTTTGCCTAATATTTATTTTAAAAATATTTTATAAAAATATTGCTGATTTTGTCTATTGAGTTTTGTGGTGCCAGGGCATATAAGTCTCAGGTATTCCACCGTGGTCTTGGTTCTGTTAAAGGTATTTTTAAAAGGAACATAATACAGCACAATGGTGAAAAATAAGACTCTGGGATTTAAATGTCTGGGCCCAAATCATGGTTTTACCAATTCTAATCCCAGGTCCTTGGTTTAGTTTTTTTTTTTGTTTTGTTTTGTTTTGTTTTGTTTTTTTGAGACGGAGTCTCATTCTTTTGCCTAGGCTGGAGTGCAGTGGCGCGATCTTGGCTCACTGCAACCTCTGCCTCCCAGGCTTAAGTGATTCTCTTGCCTCAGCCTTCTGAGTAGCTGGGACTGCAGGTGTACACCACCACACCCCGCTAATTTTTTGTATCTTTAGTAGAGATGTGGTTTCACCATGTTGGCCAGGCTGGTCTCAAACTCCTGACCTCAAGTGATCCACCCAGCTTGGCCTCCCAAAGTGCTGGGATTACAGGCATGAGCCACTCTGCCAACTCCTTGGTTTACTTCTCCATCTATAAAATGGAGAAAGTAGTACCTATGTCATATGGTTGGCTCAAGAGGTAAATTTATCAGCAAAATATCTGGTAAAGTCAACTCACCATAAACACATAACACTAAACTGGGTATACTTTGTGGTGTCATGAATAGCGGGGAGGGAGAATGAGTGTTCTTTTGTTGTTCAACATTTGTAAGGAATAGCACTATCCCGTCCATTCCCTTTTTCTCTATTTATGAGGGCCACATCCAAGCCCTTCATTTTTGGTTATCTTACCTCCATGTGGTTGTAGAACAGAAACTTCTAGTTACCTAGAACAAAAATCAATTTTCCGCTTCTGCTACAATAACAAAATGTTGCATTTCATCTGGTCTCACTGTCACCTGGAATTAAAAAAAAAACAATGGACAGTATTTCCTAGATTCCCTTGTAGCTAGCTGTAGCCTTGTAATAAGTAGTACTTACCACAGCAGAAACATATATGTGAAATTCTAGAAAGGCTGTTTATGGATTTAAATTATTAAGGAGGGAGATGTTTTTTGCTTTATCTTTTGTTCTTCATCTGGCCTGCAATGCCAAAGTGATTGGAGATCCAGCCATCACTTCGAAACATGAGAATGTTAGAGTAGGTAGCTAAGCAAACATGAGCAGAACAGGAGAGGGTCCCCCCCTCCCCGTCCCCTCTGCCTCCCAGGAATATCAGGTGACCATCAGGTGATGGTCAGGCAGTTGTTAAAGAGTCTCTCTAAAATAATAATTGGTTGTAGCTGGCACCAAGGAAAGGCAGGCTCCTAATAGATAGAAAACACCTGAAGCTGGTGGTCAGCAACTTCCTGATAAGATCTTGTTCAGGAGCTGGGTGAACGGGCTCAAGCATGCACAGTACGAGACAAAAAAGAAGACTTCAACTGGTATATGACCTTCCTCTAGGAACACTCTACTGGTAAGGAAAAAATGTCTCAAATGAGCACGTGCCCAACTTCAGTAAACACACTGTACATGCGACCCCTCCCAAGTGCTGTCAGGCCACTGCACATGTAGACAGCCCACCCCAAAGAAAAATCAAGGGAAAAGAAATGCAAACTTCTGAACCATGCCAGTGTGTAAAAACCCCAAGTCAAGGGCCAAACGGTGCTCTTCGATCTCTCAAGTTGCCCGCTTGGTCCTCTTCCAAGTGTACTTCACTTCCTTTCGTTCCTGCTCTAAAACTTTTGAATAAACTTTCACTCCTGCTTTAAAACTTGCCTCAGCCTCTCGCTCTGCTTTATGCCTCTCTGCTGAATTCTTTCCTCCAAGGAGGCAAGAATTGAATTGCTGCAGACCTGTATGGATTTGCTACTGCCTACAAGAACACCATGGAAATAGCAGACACTTTATGTTAGCATAGTGAAGTGGAAAGATGGATGTCAGGGTTCCTGATCTGATGATAAGATGGAGTTGCCACTTCAGCCTTAACCTGCCCACTTCTGGACCTTTTTTAAATGAGAGAGAAAAAGAACAATCTTGTATTTCTCATCATCAGTCACAATATTTGTGTTTAGTACAGCCAAGCCTTATTTTAACTGATAAAAATCACCTTTTCATGTGTCATTTTGGAACCCTTGAGAGCTAACTAGCTTTCCTTAACCACACTCACTCTAACAAGGATTTGTATGTCTAGCAGACTTGCTTAATTTATAAATAGCTTTTTAGGACCTTTATTTTCATTTTCCCTTATCTTCCACTTAAAGTTATTAACTTGGCTTTCGGCTTTAATTTCTGTAGCTCGAATTTTGCTAGTCATATGTGCAGATAAGCGGCCCACACTTTTGACTCACACCAAATAGAGAATGTTTGCTTAACAATGAAACACATTTTATTTTTACATGTAACTTCTTCTCTAGCCATAAACTGGAAAGTTGGATGTCCTTGCTTTTGCAAACTGCTTGGTAACCACTATTCTGACCTTATTTGATTGAGACTATTTTTGGATACAGAAAAATGCATATTTGTGGTTCAAAGCTTAAATTACAAAAACTTGTTCTCGGCTACAGTTGCCAGAGTAAGTCATGAACAATTTCTAATAGGAGAGAACAAAGTGGTTCTTAATACTATTAATAATAATGTAGAAATTAAATGGGAAATGGGTAAAATCAGTCTCATTTAAGTGCCAGGAAAGTCTTCTGCTTCATGCTCATCAAGTGTGAACCTGCACTGTGTAATACCCAATGGGTAGTGAGGAGGAGGAAAAGGAGTAAATGGATAGATAGATAGATAGATAGTAGAAACACATGGCTTTGGTATTTTTTTTTTCTATTTTCCTTTTCAGGTTTCTTCCTGATGCTAGAAAAAGTCTAGAGTATTATTTGAGGAAGTTGTCAAATTCTTTCTAACTTTTTTAAAGACACACACTATGTATGTCT